>NC_000003.12:129311634-129463149 GCF_000001405.40 Homo sapiens
CCTCCTAATATTTAATACTAATCCACACTGGGCTGCAGAGGAGAGCTCAAGCCTGGGCTGTCTTGCACACAAGTCCTTTGCCTCCTTGCTGTACCAGGGTCACCTCCTCTAGAAAGCCCTTCTCCTTAGCCTCACAGTGTTAAGTGCCTTCAATGTTCAACTGGAATTGAGGCTTCTTGAAGCCAAGTCCAGGAGACACAGTAAATAAATGGTGGATCCTGGACTCCCCAGCCCACTGTAGGAGCTGAGCATCAGGGCAGAAAAATACAGGCTTTGGAGCTACATAGAGCAGGTTTGAATCTTGACCTGGCTGTTGGCCTCCCAGAGTCTCAGCAACTGCATCAGTAAATCTGGCTCTTGAACACCCTTTTTCAAGATTGGGGTTGTTTTGAGGTTGAGATCAGGCCTGTGAGTCCTCAGAGCACCAGGCACAGTGAGTACTCAGGTGTGGTTGGTTGTGGTCATATGGCATCAACTTAGGGTCACCTCTCAGGGATGTGGTGACCTACTCTGTGAACCCCACAGTAGCACAGGTCGCATAAAGTCAGAAAGCCACCCAGCTGAAGGGGCCAAGTGAGCAAGCTGGGAAAAAGGGAGGGGAAGGGCCTATGGGCAGAGAATGGGACACTAGAAGGGTGGTTCAGAGGAAGAGCAATTTGAAAGGACGACAAGGTCCAGGATGGGCATGTGGGGAGGGTTAGGTGAGTCACTCCTTTGAGTGAGAGACCAGGATGCAAGCAACAGAAACCCCAAACTAATGTATGCAAAAAGCAATGTATAGGCTCATAGGATAGTCAGGGCTATCCAAGCTGCAGGCATGGCTTGATCCAGAAGCTCCATTAATGTCATTAAGCATCTGTCCATTTCCTGGCTCCAATTTTCTCTATCTTGGCTCCTTATTCAGGGGGGCTTTCCCTATATGTTGACAAAGATAGTCACTGGCAACTCTGGACCCATGTCCCTAAAATTTAGTGATCCTAGCAAAAGAGCACCTCTTTCTCAGCAGTTCCAGGGAATTCTGTCCCAGGATTGACTTTCATTGAACTCACTGGATCAACAACCCATTTCTGACCTAATCAGTGTGGCCAAGTGAATAACAGACTGAACACTTATTGGCCAGGTCTTGAGTCATGTGACCACCCTGGGGCTGGGTTCCCAAGGGAAGCTCACAATATTATCAGCAAAGTGGATGGCCTGTCTCACTGAGGGCTGGTCTACTGGGTGCCTTTTAAGTGCTCTTGGAGGGTGCAAGCCTCAGGGTGGGGAAGACAGCAAGCTGGGGCCCATGCCAAGGAATGAAGAGTGGGTGACAAGAGGCAGGGGTGGGAGGTAGCACCAGAGGAGGCAGCCACTAGTGGAGGCAGGTGGTGTGAACAGCAAAGGATAGATTTTGGTGAGAAATATGGAAAGGCAATGAGGAATAAGGACAGCCCAAAGCACACTTTGGGGCACTGGATTTAGCTGGCCAGCAGCACCATCTCTTTAGAATCCTGGGTATGCCAAGGCCTCTCCTGGACCCTAGCTCCTGGTGGCCTATTGGCTGGCCCTGCAAGGAGTATGGGACAGGCCTGGGCTGGCACTTGGACATGATGAGATGGCCTCAAAGGACAGATGGTCAGCAAGGTGGAGGCCTTGGTTAGGGAGAAAGGTTCAAGGAGGGATGAAACTCAGTGTTCATGGAGCACTTGAACAGGCAGGCAGGAAGGAGCAGTGTCCACAGAGGACAAATGTCTGAGGCCTTGGTGCCCATGGCCCCTGCTGCAGCCCTCCTCAGCCCTCTCTGAACCCCAGAACCACCTGGGGATCTGGTCAGAAGGCTGATTCCCAGGCCTAGCCCCAGAGATTCAGATTTGGACAACTGGGACATGATCTGGCAGCAGGTGTGGAGCTGCCAGCCTAGGCCTACCTGCCTCCTAGGTGCCCACAGGCCCCCAGACCCCAAACAGCCACAGCCATGTGTGTCCTGATGATAGTACCTCTGCCCTCATCATTCACCATCTCCACACTAGCCAGGGAGCTTGGGCAGGGCAGGCACCTGGACTGGTTTTGTCTACTGCTGTGTCCTCAGAGCTTGGCCCAGGACAGGGCAGGTAGGACTCCCACTGGCACCTGGCTCTGCAGTTCAGTGAGGCAGGAAGCAGCAGGGAGGAAGCCACAATGGGTTATGAAGATTTGCAGAGGGAATGGAGTGGCAACTCACCCAGGCGGCAGAGAGGTCTGCCAGGCCCAGATCAGGGGTAGCAGCAGGCCTGGGCTCCTCTCCAGCAATGCTCCCTCCTCTCCAGTCTATGGCCAGGAGGTCCTGCCTCCACCTGTAGTTTCTGCAATTTCTTACACAGAGGGTAAAACGAGCTCTCCTGCATTCTCACCTAACTCCAGTCACTCACGCTGGTATGAGTATATATCCACTGTTTCAGAAGCTTCCCTGTTTCCACTGCCCTTGGGGGCCTGTTTTGCAGTTGTCCATTTTTAGGGACATCTGTTAGAATAGACCTTGACCTATTGCCCAACTGGACAGACAACTATCCCACATGCTGGATACCAGAATGTCCCAGGGCTGGAGATCCTTCTGCTCCTACTAATTTTCCCAGCAATCCTTTGGGTCCCGTTTGCACTCTAGCTTAACCAATAGGCTCAGAGACAGCAAATACCCTTCTGAGACCACACGTTGGATTGTGGTCAGGAACTCCACTCTCTGGCCACCACACTTCGTCCTGGTCACATCTCACTCTAACCCTCGCTGGAGTCAGAATGACTAAGTTTACAGGCCAGTCTGGTGTGACTTTGTAAGAACTACCTCTCTGGAGGCCAAGTTTAGGTCCCTGACCATTAACTCTGAAAACCCATTAATCCCCCCTCCTCTCCCCTCCCCCATCCCGCTCCCCGCAATGGCCGATGGACCCCCTGTGGGGGCAGATAGATCCATCCCTCCTAAGGGACCGATCCTGTCTATCTCCCTGTCCCAGGTACTTTAAGTTCGTCCCAAGCCAGCAATTCCCACCCCTTGCTGAAGGCCCCTGGCTCCAGGCCTACCCTGGCCAACAGATCTGGGGTATAAGGACCCGAGGGGCCCGCCATCCAACCCCGCGTGCCGAAGGCGCCCATCCCTATTCCACTCAGATTAAACGAGAGAGGCTGAAAGGTTTAAACGCTTTATTGTGCCCAAAAAAAGGCCCATGGAATGAAGGGAAGAGCCGCGCAGCCCTGAGCCCGGAGCGATTGTTTGTCGCGCACCCAAAGGCAAGGAGGGTGGGGAGCTGGGAAAGGATGCGCGGCCTCCGCGTCCCCGCGCGCCTGGGCCCGGCCAACCAGCGACCCCGCCCGGTGGGCAGGCGCGGCCTCGGCCATCGGCGCCTAGGGGCCAGTAACCATGACGACGGCCGTTGCCAAGGCCGAGAGCCAATAGAGGCGTCGCCGGGGCTGTTTCAAAAACCTAAAGCAAACAACGAAAAACGCTACATCGTTGGGGGAGGGGAAAGACTGAGAGGACCCGGGGCCCCTCCCTGAGGCTCAGACCAGGCCTCGCGGCCCCGGCCGGCGTGAGCCGTACAAAATCTACGTCACTTGGGGTAGAAAAACAAAAACACCGAAAAGCCCACGCCGGCCGCTCTGACCGGCCGACACGCTCACTTGCGGCCCTTGGGCACTTTGGGGACGCTGGGCTTGGCCGCCTTCTTCACCTTCTTGCCCCCGGCGGCCGCCGTCTTCTTGGCCTTGCCGCCTTTGTCCTTCTTGGCGCCAGCGCCCTTCTTGTGCGAGCGCTGCTCCGGCTTCTGGCCCCTGGCGGGCTTCTTGTCCGCGCGCCGGGAGCCGGCCGCGCCCGGGGCTGCCTTCTTCGCTTTGTGCGCGGTGGGGGCCGGGGCGGTGGCGGCCGCCGGGGCTCCGCGCCGCTCCCCGCCGCCCTCCAGCTTCTTGCGGTTGAGCTTGAAGGAACCGTTGGCGCCGGTGCCCTTCACCTGCAGAAGCGTGTCGTTCTGCACCAGCGCCTTGATCGAGTACTTGAGGTAGGTGCGCCCATTCTGCTGGTCGAACCACGGAACCTTCTTGGCCTCGGTGTAGATCTTGGCCAGCGACGAGCCGTTGCGCTCGCCCAGCCTACGGATGGTCTCCACCACCAGCTGGCTGTACTTGCCCGGCTGGTTCTTCTTCTTGCTATTCTTCCTCTTCTTAGATGGGGACAACGCCGCCGAGCCGCCAGCCTTGGTCACCTTCTTGGCCATTCCCTCGGCGGTCGTCACTGGCAGGGCCTCCTCGAGCTCCACGGACATGGTAGCAAGAGGATTGGTGGCGGGCGGCGCGCGGAAGCCGGGGGGCCGCGCCGGGAAGAGGAAGGCGAGGGGCCGAGGGGGTGCAGGGGGGCTGGGGGCGCGCGGCGGCTCCAGGCGGGAGCGGCCGCGGCCGGGCCTGGGGCCGGGCGGCAGGGCTGGGGTGGGGGCCGGGCCGGGCCGGAGCGAGGGTTGGGGGGCCCGGAGCCGGGGCCGGACTAGGGGACCGAGTTGGGGGTCAGAGACCGAGTCCGAGCCGGCGGCTGGAGCTGGGGACGTAGACCTAGGCCGAGCCGGAGCGAAGAGAAATCCCGCCGAACGCGAGACACCGCCGCCGCAGCTTCCACTGGCGCCTCTGGAACTCGCTGGGCGTGCGCGCTGCGCTCTGGCGGGAGGGCGCTTCTCTCGGCTTTTTATAGCTTCATGGCGGACCACGTTGAGAACAACAACAGCCTGGTCCGGGGCCAGCGCCAACTTGTGCTTCTTGGAGCCCCTTCTCCGGCCGCTGGCTTCTCGGACCGCGCCTCTCCAGCGCCGCCGCGCCCGCAGCGGGGCGCCCCGGACAGGGCCTGAGCTCCCGGCGCAGTGGAGAGGCGACTTGCGTCCTGGAAGGGCTCAGCAAAGGCGAACGGAGAGGTGCACCCTAGGCTGCGGGAGCGCGAGAGGAGGGGGGCACCTCGTTTGGAGGCCAATAGCGCGGGCCCCAGAGGAGGCCCCACGGCCGGGAGCTTGGCGGCCGGCAACCCAGAGAACGCCACGGGCACCCGAGCCTTGTCCCGGCCCGGGGGGCTCCAGGCCTGCCCGCAAGAGGAGCTTTAATTTGTCCAAACTAACACAGGGCGCGCCCTCACGTGGTCGGCTGGGGCAACGTGAACTGCGCTAGGACATCCTCGGGGGTTTTCCGCCCCATCCAAAGGGGATGGCGGATGGGAGGCACTCTCCAGCTGCACCCCGGGTTCTGGTTGTGCCTCTGGGAGCCTAGGCACAACCCGGGGAATGGAGGACTACGGCAGGACCTCTCTAGGGACACTGCCTCGCCGCTCCCCCCACCCTGTTGCCGCTGATGTTCCCAGGGCCTCATTTTGTAATCCACAAGTAGCTGCCGCCGGTCCCCCCAAAGCCAAATGGGGGCTCCAGGGTGGGACAGGGTGGGCGGGGGTGAGGCTGTGACACCCAGAGGAATTCCTGTGAGAGGATGGGGAAGGGATTCGCTCTTAGTTCCTGGGTGCACCCCTCCCCCTCTCCCGTGCACAGGGAAATGATGGCGGGAACACAGCAAAGGAGACCATGTCCTGGAGAGGGTCCCGGGCCCCACCCTCCCCGGGGGGGCTTGTGCAAGGCTGGCGGCCCGATCTCTGCTGATTCCAGTATTGGGGGTGCAGAGAAGGCACAGGACAGTTTTTGTTGAAGCCGTTGCAGCCTCCACTTGGGGAAGCTGAGGCCAGGGTAAGATGCTCGGGTAGGAGAGGGGATCCCTTTGGGGGTAGGTGATGTAGGGCACAGGAGTGGGGCTGGGGCTGGGGGGTGGCAGGGTTGCAGGCAGGAGACAGTCTCCAGAGGCCCAGCATAGAAAAGCGATGGAGGGGTGAGGGGGGACAGGACGCTGGCGAATTGGGGTTCCCAGAGTGAGAGACAGGAACATTTACAGGTGGACAGAGTAAAAGGCCCTGAAAAGGGGGTGGGTTGGTGCATTTGTGGCCTTGGGCCCAAGCAGGCTTCTCTGGGTGAGGGCTAGCAGCACCTCCCCTCTTCTCCAGCTCACCCCTTTCACACACACACACGCCCCCCATTTTGTCACCCTGTCAAGGGAATAAACCCCAGAGAGGAAGAAATTATGTCTAGGAGGAAACGGTGAGCCTGGATGGGTTTTTTAGGGGGGAGGCTGGCAGGGGCATGGAGCCAGGAAACAGCCTTCGCCCCCCAGAGCACCAGGTACCCTGAGAAAAGTGAGAAGAGAGATTGCAGCCCAGGTCCCTGCAGAGGAGGATGGGCTCCTTTCCCAGGAAGGACTGGCTGAGTGGACTGTCTCCAGGGCACAGGACAACGTTGAGGGCCTGAGGCCTCCACCTTCTTGAAGAAGGACCATGTGAATTTCCTGACAGAGAACGGGGATGGGTTTCTGAAAGCACCACCCAGCTGAGCCTGCCGAAACTGCACAGCTGTTTCCAGGCCAGGCTGGCTGCATGGAGGACGTGAGAGGAACAGCCAGCTGTGTGTGCTGGGCCCACTGATCAGGGTGCTCAGGACCAGGAGCCTTCTGAGGATGTGCAGAGGGGACTCTGGGGAGAGGAACATGGTGGCCACAGCTGGAGTGACCGCAGTGTACAGAGATGGGATGGGAGCAGGAAACCCAAAAGAGCCGGCCCTGGAACCAGGTGGAGGGGAGGCAGCCCGGCCATGACCCAGAGCAGGTGATATGATTTGGATCTGTGTTCCCACCCAAATTTTAGGTTCAGTTTTAATCCTCAGTGTTGGAGGTGGGTCCTGGTGGGAGGTGATCAGATCATGGGAGTGGATTCTAATGGTTTAGCACCATTCCCTCGGTGATGTCCTCATGATGGTGAGCTATCATGAGATCTGGTTGTTTGAAAGCGTGTTGCACCTCCCCTGACTCCCTCTCTTGGTCCCGCCCCTGCCATGTAGGACACCTGCTCCACTTCACCTTTTGCCATGAGTAAAAGCTCCCTGAGGCCTCCCAAGAAGTTGATGCCCTGTGCTTCCTGTACAGCTGCGGAACCGTGAGCCAATTAAACCTCTTATCTTTGTAAATTACCCAGTCTCAGGTAGTTCTTTATAGCTTTGTGAGAATGGACTAATACAAGGGGCTTGAGCTTGGGTCTTTTGAAAAGTTAAAGGGTGAGCAGAAGCGATACCCCTGAAGGAGTCCCAGCCATGGGCAACAGGGCCATCGCTTGGCCTTTTGTGCAGCCACCGCAGGGGGGAGGAGTGGCATGCTGGACATGCCACTCTGGAGCTGGCTGCAGCCACAGGCTGGGCCAGGGACACTCCTGGGTCATCTGTGCTGGAGGAAGGGGATGCTCTAGTGGAGACAAAGGGACAGGGTCACGGAGGAAGGCGGGACCCAGGTGTGGCCTCCTTCATGACATCTGAGGAGAGGAGATTCGAGAGAGGAGGGCTGGGCACCGCAGCCAGTACAGCCACTCACAAAGTAGAGCCGCAGTCCGGGCACTGAGGAGAGCGGCCAGGCTCGCAGCCACGGTGCCCCGGGGGACCTGGCTGGGACTGCAGGGGAGAAGCAGTCAACACAGGGCTGGAGCCCTGTGGGCAGGGCAGTGCTGTCCAGTCCCGGGGGGAGGACACGGAGGATGCAGCTCAGACCCCACACCAGCCTTGGTGGGCACACGGGCTGGGGGCCGGCTCCTCAGCCTGTGAGGGGAGCGGGGCTTTTGTCAAGAGGGAGGCTGCCTGTGGCGCAGGGCTCAGAAGACTAATTCTAGACTTTGGGAGCTGGCATAGACTAAGTGGGATCTTCCACTTGCCCTCATGATATGGTAGAGGCAACTGAGGCTTGAGGAGGGGGTTAGCCAGGAGACCAGGACTCAGGCTGGGGTCTTGCAGCCTTCAGGGTGCCTCTTACCCCCACACTGCTGGTCATCCCTTCTGCATTACCCCACCAAGGAAACTGTAGGTGGGGAAGGTCCCAGGTCCTCAACCAAAAAAAATGGCCAAATATGAGAAAAGGAGCTTCTGGAAGTGGCCAGGGCCTAGCAGAGACCAGGGCAAGACCATGTGCCCAGCACCTGAGTCGCGCCCTTCCCTGGGCCTGGCCAGTCTGGAGGAGGCTCTGGCTTGTGAGCAGTGGGGTTTCTGGGGTCGGAATCTGGAAGGGGCTCTGTGGCTGCTGGGCTCTCTCTCTCCTCCTTATCTAGGGGATTGTTCAGTCCTGGGGCTGCAAACACCACCAGTACCCTGATGATGCAGTTCATTTCCCTAGCCCGAGGTCAGCCTCTCTCCCGTGCAGACCCCAGCATCCCGCTCCTCTTGCCACCCTCACCTGGAGCCTGGGTGTGGCCAACACAGACCCTGCTCCTCCCAAACTTTTGCCAGTGATTCTGCCCAGAGACAGGGACTGCTCCCTGATTTCCCTACTCTCTTCCAACCCATGGCTTCCTCCCCATCTACCCCAGAACTGGTCCCACAGCTGCCGAGCCCCCACCCTCTCTACCCTTTCCACCCAGCCTCCTGTTCTGTCCGCACAGCCCCAACACAGAAGTCTGAGTGGTGGGTCCTGGCTCTGCCAGAAGGTCTCTAATGGCTTCTCACCAGACGTAGGGTAAAGTCTCCCAATGCCTTTGCCACTGGCCCCTACCAAGGCTCTGACCGCAGCTCCCCAGCTGAGCACTCAGCCTCATAGCCTTTTTTGCTGCCCACACATACCCAGAGGGTTCTCAGGACCTGGGACTTGCTGGGGTGGCCCCATGGCTGGCTCCTTCCCTGGCCGGCCTCCCTAGACCCCTCCCTAGGGCTCCTACCAGAGCACCCTCCCTGCCTGGCTCACAGCCCCTGCCATCTAGTATGTCCGTTGAGTTGTGGGCTGTGAGCTAAGTGCAGGGTGGGGGAGGTCATGCTCCTAGCTGTACCAAGGCGGGGTGGACACAGTGCGCTCCCGACACAGACACACCTGCAGCAGCAGCGGATGGGAGGATGGGGGTCAGGAGCTCCTGGCTGGGCTCTGACCCGGGCTGTCCTTCAAACGCTGGGTGTGATCCCTTCCCCACCACCACTGCCCAGCCTCAGTCTCCCAGTTTGTATAAAGGGGCTGGATGTATGGAGTCTGAATGATCCAGCTCGACAGTCTGATTCTGGGCTTCCAGACACACACTCACCATTCACACCTACAGTTCACACACACAGACACCTACTCACTCACACTCAGATTTACCTTCACACACGCTCACCATTCACAGCCACAGTTCACACCCACAGACACCTACTCACACATATTTACCCTCACACATGCTCACCATTCACACCCACACTTCACACTCACACTGATACCTACTCAGTCATGCTCACACACACTCACACCATTTACACTTACAGTTGACACACGTACACATCACCTACTCACACACAATTTACCCTCCTACTCACATGCTCACACACCATTCACATAGTTCACATTCATACACACACCTACGCATCCATTCACACATATATGCACACACACTCATACCCACACATTTATCCTCACACATACCATTCACACCCACAGGTTCACACACATTCACCTACTCACACCTGTCATCCTCTCATTCACATGCTCACAAAATGGTCACACAGTTTACCCCTCACACCCACACACTAACCCATTCACACTCACAGATTCGTACACATACACCTACTCAGACACATCATCCACCCATTCACGTGCTCACACACACATGTTCACACAGGCATGTGCCCTTCACACTCATAAGCTCACCATCACATACCCTTCACACCCACAGGTTCACACACGCATTCACATGCTCCCACTCACTTCCCTCACACACATATGCTCACTGATTTACACAGCCACTCGCACTTATACATACTCGCTCACATTCACACAGGCTCACCCATTCACACACACTCGACACATTTACCCTCACATTCACCCACTCACCATTCCCACTCACCAGTTCACATGCACTCACCCAAGCTCACACTTGACCACGGACACACCCTCAAACATAGGTGCTTACACACAAGCCAACACACACTCACCTAGCCATTCATACTCACGTGCACCTATACCTTCACACACATCCTCACATACCCACACAGCTCTACACATACCCACTTTCTTACACATTCACACACATACCTATAGACACATTCAAACACACCCATTCTCACATCCTCAAAAACACCTGTGGCCACTTACTCACTCACACACAAGGTCGATGCCAACTGCAGGGAAAAACGTGGTGTCAGCCAGGGTCTGGCTGGAGGCTCCCCCTGCCCTCGCCCTCTCTGTCCTGTCTTGTTTCTGCCCTCATGTTCTGGGGACCTCGAGACTGACACACACAAACACACATGCCCATGACAGAGGCCCCAGAATCTGGTGGCACCTCGCAAAGCTCAGGCTGCAGTGGGCAGAACCCCTGGCCACCGAGCCAGCTGCAGGGCGCTGCCTCCCTGACCAGACACAAGCTCCCAGCACACACCCCTGCCCACTCCTCATCATCTGCTGGGAGGTCAGCGACCGCACCTCTGCTCCCAGACCAGAGGAAACAACCCTAGAACCCAAGGGGCCAGGACGGTGACACATCTGAGCAGAGAGCCAGTGCCAGTGCATAGAAAGGACACCTGTCACCACTCCATGGGACAGCAGGACTGATGTGCCCTGCACTGACCACGAGGACTCGAGCCCTGTCTAACGCGAGTCCTGCTGGCTAATGCCACGTGCAGGCAGGAAGATCAAAGCAGTGACACGTCCCATGTGATGGGGTTGGAGATACTTATGCCTTGAATTTGAATGTTTTCTCTAAGAGCATATATCTATATATCTATATCTATATACAGATATATATAGCTTTCAAAACATAACTTTTAGAAAAAGAAATGTTAATGAAATTCAAATCTGTATTCCAGAATATTCCAGAATTTATTGTATTTTCTTTTCTCTATTTTTTCACTATTGGTTTTTGTTGGGCTTTTTCCTGATTACAAAAAATGCATTGCTATGATGGAAACCTCAGGAAATAACAGAAATCATAAAGACTGTGATTTAAAGTAGGCCACTAGAGAGTAACGTTAAAAGTAACAGAATGAGGCCGGGCGTGGTGGCTCATGCCAGCACTTCGAGAGGCCATGGTGGGAGGATCACTTGAGGTCAAGAGTTCGAGACCAGCCTGGCCAACATGTGAAACCCTGTCTCTACTAAAAATGCAAAAATTAGCTGGACATGGTGGTGTACACCTGTAGTCCCAGCTACTTGAGAGGCTGAGGCAGGAGAATCACCTGAACCCAGTAGGCAGAGGTTGCAGTGAGCCGAGATTGTGCCATTGCACTCCAGCCTGGGTGACAGAACAAGACTCTGTCTCAAAAAAAAAAAAAAAAGTAATAGAATGGACGAAAAGCCACAATCCTATGGAAACACCAGAGGAATGCACCCAGAAGTGGGGGTCTCATGTAGCTTTATTGTGTACTGATAAGTACTTGTCTTTGGTTGCCATGGAAACGTCAAGATGTTGGGATACAGGGTGATGGGGATGTGAATTTCCACCTCCTGCTGGTTCCACACAGGCACCCATAGTGTGTGGACCCCTCTATCCTACAAGGGGTGAGGGTGCCACACATCACTATGACAACCATGTCATCAGCAGTCTTTCCCAGTCACTGGACCCCCACCCCTCCCTGGGGATCAGGCCACAAAGGTGGATTTTGTGGGAGAGTGGAGAGGAAGTTTCCAGACACCCTGCCACCCTCTCGTTCTCCACAGGGATGGCTTTCCGTGGCTTTGCTACAGCCACTCCTGGAAGTGCTGCCTGACTGAATCCTCAGGGCACCCCGGCAGGATGGACGTGGTGTACCCCCTACTTTACAGATGGGGAAACTGAGGCTTGAGAGCTAAAGCAGCCCACCCAGCTCCCAGAGATGAGGAGGCCGACTCTGGCAGGAGTCACTGTCGGTGCATGGGCATTTCTTCCTGTTACAGCCTGCGGCCCCTTCCAGGCCGGGAGGCCTTCTGCGCAGGGTAGGAAAATGGGAACACCCAGGCCGATTTTCCGATCAGCAAAGCTCTGCTCCCTAAGGCTGATGGGCTTCTTAAAGACAAAGGAAAAAAGAACCCAGGATGTAAGTAGCCCAAACAGGCAAAGGGACACTGGTGGCCCAACTCGACCCATGGCCCTCCTGGGCTGACATTTCTGCCTACAGAGGAGGGCTTCATAGGCCAAGGCACGACGCAGGGGAGACACCAACTTGCCTGGTCCACCACAGAGGTGAGGGCCGCGTCAATGGCCATCTGTCCCCTCTTTAGTGCCCTGACGTGATGGTATGACCCATTCTGGGAGGCCGAGAGCACCTCAAAGAACTCAGCAGGAAGCACAGTTTCAATTCAGAAGTTCTGGAAGGCGAGGCAGGACAGGTGAGAGGTGCTTCTGGGGTGACTCCAGAAAGTCAGAGTTTGGGCAAGAAGCTACAGAACTGAAACCAGCAGCCGGGCCAGGCCAAGGGGCCCCCTGGTGTTCAGCAGCCTCCACTAGCAGCAGACGGGCAGGTCAGGCCCTGGAACAGAGCTCTAACCACTATGGCCTTTGTCCCCACCCAGGGCACCCTCCCTGCATGGCCCGATGACCTGCACTCCTGTTTCATCTCCCCGTGTGGCACCTGGGGCAGCTTGGAGCCTACCAAGGTCTCAACAAGGAACCAGTAAATACCAAAAAAAGGACATCACGTCCCCTACAGCTAACTGCAAATGGTGACCATCCCAGCCCTTGTTTGATAACACAAGCAAAGCAATGGCTTCTTCAAGGACACCGAGAGGAACCTCACCTCTTTCTAAAACCTCCAACACAGGGCCAGGCGCGGTGGCTCATGCGTGTAATCCCAGCACTTTGGGAGGCCGAGGCAGGTGGATCACGAGGTCAGGAGATCGAGACCATCCTGGCTAACACGGTGAAACCCCGTCTCTACTAAAAATAAAAAAAATTAGCCGGGCGTGGTGGTGTGCGCCTGTAGTCCCAGCTGCTCGGGGAGGCTGAGGTAGGAGAATAGCGTGAACCCAGAAGGTGGAGGTAGCAGTGAGCCGAGATCACTCCACTGCACTCCAGCCTGGGCAACAGAGCAAGACTCCATCTCAAAAAACAAACAAACCTCCAACACCACCTGGAAGGGCCTGGAGGCACTCACTGATGAGCCTGGAATTTCTCACAGGGGACAGAGAGGTGGCCAAGGCTCCTGCACATTTCCCCATCTGTCTGACACCCCTTTCCAGAACCAGAAAGCGTGCTGAGCTCGGCCTCTGTCACGCAGGGTTCCAGGTATTTCTGGGGCTCAGCAGGGAGAAGGCCAGGACGTGCTCCCTGACTCTCGGCAGGGCGGGAGAAGAATGAATCCTCTGAGGTCCCCAGCTTGGGGAAAAGGGGGTGGGAGAGTGGCGGGCAGAGACCTCCTCCGTATCCCCCTCTCCTGAAGCCCTGCCGCTGTGGCAGCCCTACAGGGACTACAGGGCTCCAGCCCTACAGGGACTCTGCGGTGGGGCGGGTGTGCAGGCTCACAGGCTCTGGAAATGCCCCAGGATGCCTTGGCAGTGTCTCCCACAGACCCAGGAGCGCCACTAGAAACAGGACCCTTCCTCAGTCATCCTGCATGGGGGCTCCTGTTGCTTTGGGGGCTGCTTTCCAGCAGCTGCGTCAGACAACGACCCACCTCATCCCCCCAGCCAGGACCTGAACAGGCACTGACGTCAGATACGTAGACCTTGTTGCTGAACTTGTCAAAAACTTCAATGGTGATTTCATACAGGCGGCCGGTCTCCAGCACCCACCTATCACCAGGGTGAATGGTGAACCCTAAAACAGGCAGGGGGAGCCTGAGCACTCAGGCCTCAGGGGCAGCAGGGTGGAGGAGGATGGGACCACCACCCTCAGCACAGGGGCCCTCAGCATCCACATGGGAAGCCCCACTCCACCCACCTGTAGGCCCCACACCACCCACCTGCAGGCCCCACACCACTTACCTGGAGGCCCCACACCACCCACCTAGGGGCCCCACAATTATGGCGCTGGCCTCCTCCACAGAGAGGGACCTGTTGCTGAGGAACAGATGCCTGATGCCGCCTTCAGCCCTGAGTCCTGAGCTGACCTCCCGAGGACCAAACCTGGACTCATCCCATTCTATCTGAACAAGGCTCCTTCAAACTTGTTCCTGTTCCTCAGTGGGTCTACACTCAGAATCCTAGCAGCTCTGTCCTTAACACACAGCAGGTCTATGCTCTGAAGTGATAATAGATCTATAGTGTTCACAGTAGAACTAGTCTGAACCTTCAGGGGGTCTGTGCTCTGAGGAGGGATGGACATAGACTCCAAGAAAGTGATGATTCTGGAAAAGGAACGCGTTGTTAAAGTTTGTTGATCAAACCCAGACACAAGGTCTGTCAGAATCTACCACAGCATTCCCTATCAGCCCCTCCCACTGGGGCCAACACTGAAGAAATAAGGGGTGTCCCGTTAGTCAGGGCTGGGGCTACCTAGAGACATGTCCCTGCAGCTTCCTACATCAGATCTGCCCATGTCCTTGTGAAAAATGCAGATGCTTGGCCCCTGGCCCAGGCTGTGTCTGCAAGAAGCCTGGGAAACTCCATTTTATCCACCTGCATACGTGATGGAAACACTGACATGCAAGACCAGCCGCTGAGTCCACACAGGAACAATGAGGCCTGAGAGATGAGGCAACAGGCCCAAGAACACAGCCCAGCCGAGGCCGGACCAGCAGCGCCCTCGCCTCCCTGAGGCTGCCTGCTCCTGTCCCACCTCCCTGGCCTACCACCCAGCTCTGGGGAACGATTCTCCATGACTGGTCCCTTAGCCCTGGGGACCGGACGGCACCACGTCTCACTCTCCCCAGATCCCAGCTTGGGGAGATGTCGGGGACGTGGTGTAGCATGGAGTGTGGGCTGCTGGGCAGGCTGACTTCAGGGATCCTTCCCACGCAGCCTCCCACTTCAGCCTGCATTTACAAACGAGCCCACTGTTCCCCTGCACAAGAGCAATCTGCCGCCATGCTTCCATCTCCCCAGCATCTGCCGGTGCCGGGCCACGCCGTAATTTATTTCCTCGCCTGGTTACTCTAGGTGTCACATGTCAAATTGACCACAAATCCAGGACAATCCAGCTCCAACCTGCCTTGGTGTCTGGGATTTCTGTTATCATTCGGCTCAGGTGCAGAGCTGCCTGGAAGCTTGGGGGGCCTGACATGGCAGGGGACGGGGCTGTCAGAAGGGGACAGGGAACCAGCATCCCCTCAACATCCAACATGCGCCAGGCCCAGAGAGGGGCCCTGAGCGGATCAATCTGCCGAGCTGGGCATGGGATCCCCTCCAGCTCTGTTTCCCAGGGCAGGAGGCTGAGGCTCAGGTGGGTAACGTTCCCTGGCTAAGGCCACAGGCAGGAAGTGACAAGGCCAGGACTGGAATCCAGGTCTCTGACTCTCCGGCTCGTGGTCATAGTTTTACAAAACACCAGAAACTGCAGAGCTGGTCCAGAAAGCTCTGCCTCCAGGAGGGCGACTCAGCTCTCAAAGGCATCAGGACGTGAGGACGTCTGCCTGGAGTCACCGTGAGCTGAGTTCTGGAGAAGGTTGTGATGGAGGAACCACCACGTCCCCATCATCCCCTACGGCCCAGAGCTGGACTTTAATGGCGTAATTGTGGGCGGATCACGAGGTTAGGAGATCGAGACCATCCTGGCCAACATGGTGAAACCCCATCTCTACTAAAAATACAAAAATTAGCTGAACGTGGTGGGTGCCTGTAATCTCAGTACTCAGGAGACTGAGGCAGGAGAATTGCTTGAACCCGGGAGGCAGAGGTTGCAGTGAGCCGAGATTGCGCCACTGCACTCCAGCCTGGTGACAGAGTGAGACTCCATCTCAAAAAAAAAAAAAAAAAAAAAAAAACCAGAAGATGGTAAACTCCCCAACAAAGGACTTATAATTACAAAGGGGTGAGAAGGTGACTTCCCCAGATCAGAAGCAAGTGGAAGAATGGAGTCTCACTTCGGTGATATTCCTGCCAAAGACGCAGTGCTCAGAGCCTGGCCATGAGGGAACAGCAGATAAACCCAAAATGAGAGCTGCTCTACAGATAACCAGACTGTCCTCTTCACAAGTGTCACGGTGTCCAAAGTCAAAGCCCAGGAGGCTGTCCCGGGCTGACAGAGACTAAGAGAAACAGGACACATGCGGCAGGTGACTCAGGGCTGGGGTTTTTCTTTTTGCTGAAAGGGATAAAACTGGGACAAATGGCTGGGCACGGTGGCTCATGCCTGTAATCCCAGCACTTTGGGAGGCTGAGGTGGGCAGATCATGAGGTCAAGAGATCGAGACCATCCTGGCCAACATGGTGAAACCCCATGTGTACTAAAAATACAAAAAGTAGTTGGGCGTGGTGGTGCACACCTGTAGTCCTAGCTACTCGGGAGGCTGAGGCAGGAAATTTACTTGAACCCTGGAGGCAGAGGTTGAAGTGAGCCGAGACTGCACCACTGCACTCCAGCCTAGTGACAGAGGGAGACTGTCTAAAAAAAAAAAAAAGGGCTGGGCCAGATGTGGTGGCTCATGCCTTTAATCCCAGCACTTTGGGAGGCCCAGGCGGGCAGATCACGAGGTCAGGAGATTGAGACCATCCTGACTAACACAGTGAAACCCCGTCTTTACTAAAAATACAAAAAAAAATTAGCTGTGTATGGTGGCGCGCGCCTGTAGTCCCAGCTACTCGGGAGGCTGAGGGCAGAAGAATCGCTTGAACCCGGGAGGTGGAGGTTGCAGTGAGCCAAGATTGTGCCACTGCACTCCAGCCTGGGCGACAGAGTAAGACTCTGTCTCAATTTAAAAAAAAAAAAAAACCGAGACAAATGAGCAAACTCGAATGAGGTCTGAAGATGGTCGGCATCAGTGTTCGTTTCCTAGCACCATAACTGCACGGTGGCCATGCAGGACAACGTCACTAATGGTCGTAAAGCACTTGAAAATCATCAGGGTGATGGGACATGAGGCTGGCAACCGGCTTTCAGGTGAGTGAGGGAAACCTCTTTTTGGACTGCGCTGGCAGATTTTCTACAGGCCTGAAGTTTCTGCAAAAGGAGACTCAAACATGAAAATGAAACTTTAAAAAAAGGCATCGTGCTCTTTAAAAATCACATAGCAAAACTAGAGGCAAGCAGCACAGTCAGACCTGGGGCCTGCACCAGCGCCGGCCAAGGACCGGTGTAGCTCTGCTCCTGCCCTGTCCCACAGGTGGCAGCACTCGCCGTGCAGCCAGTGAACCCTGGACTGGAGGCTTATGCATCTCAGGAACTGAACTGCTCAATTTCTTTTCTTTTCTTTTCTTTTTCTTTTTTCGAGACAACGGAGTCTTGTTCTGTCGCCCAGGCTGGAGTGCAGTGCTATGATCTCGGCTCACTGCAAGCTCCGCCTTCAGGGTTCACGCCATTCTCCTGCCTCAGCCTCCTGAGTAGCTGGGACTACAGGTGCCTGCCACCATGCCCGGCAATTTTTTTTTTTTTGTATTTTTAGTAGAGACGGGGTTTCACTGTGTCAGCCAGGATGGTCTTGATCTGACCTCGTGATCCGCCTGCCTCAGCCTCCCAAAGAGTTGGGATTACAGGCATGAGCCACTGCACCCGGCCAAACTGCTCATTTTCTAACTACACGTAAATAGCCCTGGGGCCCGTGGCTCCCACATGAGAGTGCAGATCCACATGGATCTGAGTTCAGACTCCAGCTCTGCCCTCCCCGAGCTCAGACAAGCGGCTTGGCCTCTTCAGGTCTCAGCCTCTACGACTACTCAATGGAGAGCACAGTGGTGTGCAAGCTCACGTGGCTGCTGGGAGGATAACACAGGTCAAGAAGTTTAAGGCATCCATCTCACAATGGGTCTGTCTACACCACTGTGGGCGACTTAGCCTGTTACACCTGAGACCGGCGGGCACAGCTGGCCCATGCCCCAGCAGAAACCTGGCTGCCCTTTAACTGGTCCCCCAGTTACGAGGACAGAACATGAAGGTTCTGCTCCAAGTCCTGAAAGTACAGAGGGAGGGGCCGGGTGCGGTGGCTCACGCCTATTATCCCAGCATTTTTGGAGGCCGAGGCAGGCGGATCACGAGGTCAGATCCAGACCATCCTGGCTAACACAATGAAACCCCGTCTGTACTAAAAATACAAAAAATTAGCCAGGCATGGTGGCATGCGCCTGTAATCCTAGCTACTCAGGAGGCTGAGGCAGGAGTATCGCTTGAACCCAGGAGGCGGAGGTTGTAGTGAGCCGAGATCGTGCCATTGCACTCCAGTCTGGGCAACAGAGAGAGACTCCATCTCAAAAAAAAAAAAAGAAAAGAAAGTACAGAGGGAGAGGGCCGACTTCTCACCCAGCACCCCGCACTCACTAGATGGACTTTGCCTCCAAGATCAGGTATCTGCCTATGAGAGAGTTGTGTCTCACCAGATTCCTTCCCCTGGAGGTCAACACCCAAAAGTCAAACCAAAATCTTTTGTGTATCATTCCCAAGAGGTGAAACATAATCAAAGGCTCTGAAGTTTGCTGTGGCAAAGGCAGGAAAGATCTGGTGCTTTGAGAAAGACCATCTTTAAATACTATGATGGCAAACACAGCACACTCAGAGCCCAGAGGCACCATCTCTGTATGCCGTTAAAATACAAAAAGAACAAATCAGATTTTACACATTTATTTCTGATTTCACAGCTCCCTTCCAAGGCTTCATAGCCTCAAGTGTAACCCTCGTGCTCCCCAGCAGCCTCTCCCATTGGGTCCTACCTGGAGTGGAGTCCCCTACCTCCCGTCTTCATCCTCACTGCTGCGTGCACCACATGGTGTCCAGGGGCCACAAACATCAGCAAGAAGGGTATTCCAGAGAGTGACTCACCCATCCCTCCTACTCCATTGAGGTCACATTAGATGACACAAGATCATGCTTCTCTGTCCTCTGGGCTCTCTTACCCTCCCTGGGCTCTATGGAGTTCGAGACCATCAATGAGGCGTTGCTGACAATTGTAAACCATCAAGTGAGAAGGTCTCCTTTCCTCCTCTCACTTCCCCATTTTTGCTGCAATGTTACAGCTCTCGCTACAGACTTACCTACCTGGAATTCTAACCGTGATGGAAACATTGTGAGGTAGATGAGCTCATTCAACAGACCTGGGCTGGGCTCAGAACAGCTACCCAAGTGTTCTGTGCAGAGGGAAATGCTCTCTGTGCTGTTGAGTGCTATGGTCAGTGGCAAATAACTCCTAGGGACACATGAAATGTGGCTGTTGAACACAGTGTTTTCTTGCACTCTAATTAATTGAATGGATTAATTAAGTTAGTAATAAGGAGCACCTCCCGGTAGTGACTGCCACACAGAAGAGCGCAGCTTCAGAGATATAAAGATGAAGAAGACATGATTCTTCTACCCTGGTGTTTCCTTGCAGAGTAGGTGTCTGCTCTGATCCAATCATCCATTTATGGGAGCTTCCTGGGCACAGGTACAGGGGCCAGGCCCTCTGTGAGGCCTGGGGATGCTGCAACGGGGAGGACAGCATCCAGGTCGAGGGTTCCCAGCAGGGGCTGCACTTGTACACAGAGGTGAAAAGCACGGACCAGCAAACCCTGTCCAGACAGGATCAGAGCAGCAGGGACAGAGGGGATGGGGACAACTTACTGTCTTCAGGAGCCCACGCTCATCTCCTCTGACCCTGGATCAGAGCCCGAGAAAGCACCTGGATTAGTGTGGGGCCCAACAGGCTAGACAGGGTGAGGATGAAACCCTTCCATGCCTGAGCTAGATCTCAGCCCAGCGATGTGCTTATCAGAACCTCTGGGAGGACTAAGTTGGGCTGCCCAGGGCTGAGCTCTGGGATGACAAGGAATGAGGAGGCCTCAGTTCTTGCCCTGGCAGTGACCAGCCATGGCTAGGATTCACTCTTGCTTAGATGGAGCACAGAAATCACTGTGCAAATGGCTGTGGCTGGATTCAGGTGATGATGGCGTGCTGACTCTTCTGAACTTTAAAACCCTGGAATCCATCCTCCCCCTCCCATCCACACATGGCCTGGACACTCTTGTGACTTCCCTCAGCCCCTCTGTACTCCTCCCTCTTCAGGTCCAGCCCAGGGCCCTGAGCCCTGCCTTCTCCCATGGAGTCCATGGGTGGCTGTCTCGGAACTCCTAGAGCTCTTGGTCTTGGTGTCACTCATTTGAACATTTAATCCCTCACAGCAGATGTCTCTTCAGGCACCACTGGGAAACTGTTCTAGACAGTGAAGGTTCTTGGAGAATCTTAGTATGAGAAACATGTTCCTTCTGGGGAAAGTGATATTTTTTCTAAATTGAGCAGTCTCACTTATTTTTGTTTTGTGGAGAAAAATTTTGACACCCACAGAGCAAGCAGATTCTATTAAAACAAACTGTGTCACACAGTATTCATCATCAAAGGGATTCTGAAGCCATGATTTTGCCTCATGTGATATTTTATGCTTACTTCAACAAACACCTTGACTTGTTTCCTTGAAAAGGAGTTCAGAAGCAACAAGAACCTATTTCAATTAGTGGGTCCTACCAGGCCGAGTGGGGATCGCCCTGCAACCCCCGTGGCTGAGTTTATCTTTCTCCACCTTGCAATGCACACCCTACTGTGTCCTCCTCCTAGGAAGGAAGCCACGTCTCCACCCTGAGGCTGGGTCCCTGAAGAAGCCCCTTGTTTCTCCTTCATTCTATAGTGTGTGTTGCTCCACCACCCAGAAGCCATGATTGGTGTAAGTAACGGGAGAGATTATGCACATGGAAATGGAATTACCTATTTTCGGCCACATTATCTGAAGTGGAATAGTAGACCTCAGTTGAGAAAGCTGGAGGGAAATTGCCCCAGTTTGTCTAGAGTCTCCTCGTTTCTCGGAGTCCTCCCAGAACTAAGTGAGGGGCTTACTGTAGAAAGAGGCCCAGCCTGGCAGTCCTTGTGTTTACGATGGGGAGGGTTAATTCTGAGGCTTCCTGTAATAAAAAGGCTTGGGGAATGTGGAGACGTATAAGGATGAAGCATCAATGGGGAGACTCCTCCTCCTTGAAATCCTAAAGTGTTTGAGGAGCAAGGACTCTGGGGTTCCTGCAGTTTCTGTCTTGGCAAGTGTTCCACACAGAGGGGCTCAGGAACAGGATTAAAATCCCAATTGATGCCAAACTCATAGTAGAAGCTTAGAGTCTCTCCCAGGAAGTAGATAGAGGTGGGAAGAAAGTGCATGGGATTCGGAATCAAAGGGTTAATCTAAACCTGTCACCTAATGGTAGTATATTTTATTCTATAGATCAAATAATTATTTGAATTTTATAACAATACTCAAGACATGCAATTCTTGTTTAATGTATTAAAAACATTTAAATGTTTGGGAGATCGAGCTGGGAGGATCGCTTGAGCCCAGGAGTTTGAGACCGGCCTGGGCAACATAGCAAGATTCTTGTCTCTTTAAAAAAAAAAAAAAAAAAGCAGGCCGGGTGTGGTGGCTCACGCCTGTAATCCCAGCACTTTGGGAGGCCGAGGTGGGCAGATCACGAGGTCAGGAGATCGAGACCATCCTGGCTAACATCATGAAACCCTGTCTGTACTAAAAATACAAAAAATTAGCCGGGCATGGTGGTGGGCTCCTGTAGTCCCAGCTACTCAGGAGGCTGAGGCAGGAGAATGGCGCGAACCCAGGAGGCGGAGCTTGCAGTGAGTGGAGATTGCTCCACTGCACTCCAACCTGGACTGCCTCAGTGAAGGTGGCAGAAGTCATGAAATACACAGCCATTGAAAATCTCTGGGATGATGAGGTCCAGAGATCTCATTTGAGATCAGGAGTTCGAGACCAGCCTGGCCAACATGGTGAAACCCCATCTCTACTAAAAATATAAAAATTAGCTGAACGTGGTGGTGGGTGCCTGTAATCTCAGTACTCAGGAGACTGAGGCAGGAGAATTGCTTGAAACCGGGAGACAGAGGTTGCAGTGAGCCAAGGTCGTGCCGTTGCATTCCAGCCTGGGTGTCAAGAGCAAAATTCCGTCTTAAATAAATAAATAAATAAATAAAAACTAAAATAAAATCTCTGGGATGATTCCAAGGGCACACAGCAAATGAAGAAGCGTTTATTAAGAAAACCTACTAACACCTGGGAAGAACACCAAGGGCCTGCAGTGTGTGAAATAAGATGCCCGTCCTCCCTGACTCCCCACCCCAGTGAGGGGGGCTCCACTCCAGACTGCTTTCTCCAAGATCACAGGACTCCCTCACCCCCTAGCTCCTGCCTGGGAGATTTGCTTGCTAAGAGGGGCAGAATGTTATCTTTTCTTATCATGCCACCAGCTACCGCTTGCTGAGACCGCTTGCTCAGCCCAGGAAAGTGGGTTGAGAGGTGGAGGCTCTTGTCTTCCACACAGGCCCCACTCATGGGATGGAGGCTCTGCCTTGAGTGCAGCACCCATGAGAATACTGGGGCCCGGCCGCCCTTCCCTGGCTCATGGGGTGGGGTTCCCTGCTAAGAGAGGACAGCCGATGAACACTGGGGCTACTGCCCCATTCACCAAGCACCCAGCTCCTGATGTGCAGGTGTCACCAGAGAGAGATGCACCACTGTGTCCAGCACCATAGCTCTGGCTCAGAGAGTTTGCCTGGGAAAGCAGCAGGCAGAAAACAGAAGGTGTGAGTAGCTTTTGAAGAAACTGACTTCATGTGCAATGGAGCTCGGAGAAGTCCAAGCCTAAGCGCACTCTCCAGAACAGTGGAGGTTGTGCTGAAAGGCAACTGGGAGGCGACGGAGAGTCCAGGAGGTGTGGGCTACACTGGAGGCCGGCAAGTCTGCAAGAGAGAAATGGAAAAAGAGACAGCTGGGAAGAGCTCTCCTGGGGTTAGAACAAACCTTAATATCTTTTTTGACAAAGAACGTAACATCAAAATAGCCGACTTTGGGTTTAGTTCAACATTTGCAAAGAGAGACTGAGAACGTTTAATGGGACTCGCCCTTACGCAGGCCCAGAACTCTTCCTGGGCCATGGATGGGTACCAATGACCTGCCATCAATGTTTGGAGCCTTGGCATCATCGTATGCAAAATGGTGGCTGGGGACCTGCCATTTTATGAGCAGAACTGTAAGGATATACAGAAAAAAAAAAAAACAAAACTTAAAATAGTACTGCTACTTTTTTTTTTATTTTAATGGAAAAAAATATTTAAAAATTCTTCACACTCAACCCCAGGGAGCAGCTTCCACTGGACCAGCTGTTGAGGGACTCCTGAGTCAATAGCGACCAGAAGACATGGTTCAAGCCATACAGAGAGCCACTCCTGGACCTCCCAGGCCCCACAACAACCCAGCTCATAGTGGCCAGGGGATTCTAGGCAGAGCATATCGAGGAAGCGATATTAAAAAAAAAAAAAAGAAGTCATCCCATGGCCACCTACCTAATCAGGGAGTTCAGAAAAGTGCAGAGGAGAAAGGGTTCCAACATCGGAGCACAATCCCTCCTTCCTGGGGGCCCCACCTGTCCTTCCCCATCTGCCACATTTAAGTCAACCTTCCCTGTCCAACCGAGAGGAGGACTCAAAACCAGCCGACCTTTCCCACTTTCTAATTCACAGAAGCACGAACAGGAGCATCCCTGGGAGTCAGGGCAAACCCTACCTGGCCTGGAGATGAAGCCAGCCATTCCCAGCAAAGCCCCCAGCATAAGCCTGTGACTTCACCCTCCCCAGAGCACCAGCAGCTATGGGGGAACCCCCAAGGAGACTTGTCTCAGGGAACCCACTGGGAAGTTGGCTCACTCCATGTGGAAGACCCAGAAGAGGTGACTTGGTCGGAGGGAACCCCCGGGAAGCCAGATGGTGTAACCTCAATCTCTGTGACCAAAAGGAGCCACGGATGCCATTGGCAAAAGATGTTTCAGTTTCATGCTGCAATTATGTTGTTTCTGACTAGCACAAAAAAGTCAAAGGGAGAAATAAGGCAGCACCAGTGAACCCAATGGACAGCTGGGCCGAGACAAAAACCAAGTGGGTGGGGCAGTCGAGCTACACTTCCTGTGTTTTATTACATTTATTATGTTCTTCTTAATATTATTTTAATTGGCAAATCATGCTTGCATTCATTTATGAGATACAGTGTGAGGATTAGATGGATGTGTGCACATTGGAATGACAAAATCACACTACTTAGCATCTCCATCACCTCAGAAAGACAAATTCCGTGTGATGTCCCTGAAGTGTTCATCTAAAAAAGCTGACCTCATAGAAGTAGCGAGTAGATTGATGGTGAACAGGGGCTGAGGAGCAGATGTGTAGAGGGGTGGCAGAGGGAAGAAATGGGGGGGTTGTTGGTCAAAGGACCAAAGTCTCAGTTGGAAAGGATGAAGAGGTTTTGACATCTAGTGCACCGTAGGGTAACCAGAGTCAATGGGAATGTATTGCCTATGGCAAAACACCTGAGAGAGTCCATGTCGAATCCTGGCATTCAGAATGGAGAAAACAAAGGCCCTGAGGTTCAAGAACATTAAAAACCTTGGGACAAATTGACCATGTGTAGACTCCAACAGCTGTGGGTGAGAACCGGGCAAGATGACGACGCTGCCATGTGCCCAATACACCTGGCCCAGAGGCATTCAGCAGAGGACGGAGGTGTCCAAGCTGCTACCAGGGTCAATGAACAGGATTCAAAAGTCAAGAGGGCATCTGGCAGCCCTGTAGCCTTCAAAGGCCTATCCAAAGCTACAAGTGAGCTGAAGGACAGCCTGGAGCCTCCTGAAGAACAGAGGGCCCCTCCACCCCACCTGGCCCAGGGCACCATCTCTTCCTCCTGTCTGTCCCCTGCTTCCTCTGTGCTGCCGCCTCCCCCTTCCTCCCCACTCAGCTCCCTGCAGTCCTCTCTCCACCCTTCCAAGGTAAACACAGCTTGCTGCTCTCCTGAGGCCCTGCTAAGACTGTGGTTTCTGGTCCCCGCTGAACTCTGGGACTTGATTTCCCTGGCCTTTTCCCCCACCTCCTTTCTGTTTGTCCCAGCCCCACCTCCAACTCCCTCCTCCCCAATTCCCCCTCTGCCATTCCTAATCCCCTCATCCTGATTCCTTTTTGCTACATTTTCTCTAGCTAAATCATCTTTTATTCACTTGCTAATAATCTATCCCTCGGTCTCCTGGATGTCTGTCTTGTGCAACATAGAATTATGAAAATCTAGAAATTGGAATCTAACTCCTGGCCCTAGATAGGACTCAGGTTTTGTGAAAGGGAGAAAACAGCAACAACAACAACAAAAACCAAAAGCAAGCCCCACCAAATCAACACCTAGTCTAGAGCCTGATATAAGTGCCACTCAAAATGTGTTTCCTTCCTTTATTCTTTTTTTTTTTTTTTTTGAGACAGTGTCTTGCTCTATCACACAGGCTGGAGTGCAGTGCCGCAACCTTGGCTCACTGCAACCTCTGCCTCCCGAGTTCAAGAAATTCTCCCTCAGCCTCCCAGTAGCTGGAATTACAGGTGCCCACCACCATGCCTGGCTAATTTTGTTTTTTTGAATTTTTGGTAGAGATGGGGTTTCACCATGTTGGCCAGGCTGGTCTCGAACTTCCAACCTCAAGAGAGCTGCCCGCATCAGCCTCCCAAAGTGCTGGGATTACAGGCGTGAGCCATTGTGCCTGGTCTCCTTCCTTTATTCAATAACCAGAGAATTCTTCCTGAAAAAGGTGGCCCCTGAGACCATTTGGAAGCATCACAGGGTGGAGGGGCAAGGGTCCTGCGAGCTGGTCTTGCCATCCCTTGTCCCCCAGTTTACATGAAGCCGAGCTCCAGAGAAGAGACAGGGCCCGTGGGGCATTTGGATTACACTCCAAGTCTAATTCCCAGTCCAACAATCCTTCCCGCAGAGGCTTCCTTCATCTGTCCACTTGGCCAAGGAAGGAGCAGGTCAGCTCATGCCCCCTGCCTGGATGCAGACAACAACCATCAGAAGGCCATCCATGTAGCCGGGGCCCCAGAACAATGTCTGCTTGGAAAGGGCCCAAGGAGCTGGAGCCCTTTAGCCTCAAGAAGAGCATGAGGGACCCAGCACCCTTCTGAAACCTAAACCACATTCTGGCCTGAGCCATTTTGCACTGTCTGTGCCCTAGAAAGTTGTGAAGGCCTGTAAGTGGGTCTTCCTGTTTCCTTGTCTTCTGAGGCCCAGGCCTTTCTCAGAGCCTCCGTGGGTCCCACCCCTGCACCCATCACACGGTGTCTGGGCCCTGCCTGCCTGGCTCACACCCCCCACCCCCACTCACTGTCCTATTTCCATCCCTGTGGATGGACATAGGGGACACCGTGCTAGGCACTGCTGTTCTCTCTCTTAGAAGACTTTCATAGGCCCTGCCCGTCCCTTTTGCCAATTGATATCATTTGGCTGTGTCCCCACCCAAATCTCAACTTGGATTGTATCTCCCAGAATTCCCACATGTTGTGGGAGGGACTCAGGGGGAGGTAATTGAATCATGGGGCCAGTCTTCCCTGTGCTATTCTCATGATAGTCTCATGAGATCTGATGGGTTTATCAGGGGTTTCCGCTTTTGCTTCTTTCTCATTTTCTCCTATTGCTGCCACGTAAGAAGTACCTTTTACCTCCTGCCATGATTCTGAGGCCTCCCCAGCCATGTGGAATTATAAGTCCAATTAAACCTCTTTTTCTTCCCAGTCTCAGATATATTTTTAACAGCTGCGTGAAACAGACTAATACACCAATCAAGTGAATGTCACCTCCTCAGAGAAACCCTCCCTGAGCACCCCATCTGCAGTAGGGTCACCTCCATCTTCCACCTTCACTTTTCCTGGTGTTTCCTTCTTTTTTTATTTTATTTTATTTTATTTTATTTTTTTATTGATCATTCTTGGGTGTTTCTCGCAGAGGGGGATTTGGCAGGGTCATAGGACAATAGTGGAGGGAAGGTCAGCAGATAAACAAGTGAACAAAGGTCTCTGGTTTTCCTAGGCAGAGGACCCTGCGGCCTTCCACAGTGTTTGTGTCCCTGGGTACTTGAGATTAGGGAGTGGTGATGACTCTTAACGAGCATGCTGCCTTCAAGCATCTGTTTAACAAAGCACATCTTGCACCGCCCTTAATCCATTTAACCCTGAGTGGACACAGCACATGTTTCAGAGAGCACGGGGTTGGGGGTAAGGTCACAGATCAACAGGATAATAATTTTTCTTAGTACAGAACAAAATGAAAAGTCTCCCATGTCTACCTCTTTCTACACAGACACGGCAAACATCCGATTTCTCAATCTTTTCCCCACCTTTCCCCCCTTTCTATTCCACAAAACCGCCATTGTCATCATGGCCCGTTCTCAATGAGCTGTTGGGTACACCTCCCAGACGGGGTGGTGGCCGGGCAGAGGGGCTCCTCACTTCCCAGTAGGGGCGGCCGGGCAGAGGCGCCCCTCACCTCCCGGGCGGGGCGGCTGGCTGGGCGGGGGGCTGACCCCTCCCACCTCCCTCCCGGACGGGGCGGCTGGCCGGGCGGGGGGCTGACCCCCCCACCTCCCTCCCGGACGGGGCGGCTGGCCGGGCGGGGGGCTGATCCCCCCACCTCCCTCCCGGACGGGGCGGCTGGCCGGGTGGGGGGCTGACCCCCCCACCTCCCTCCCGGACGGGCGGCTGGCCGGGCAGAGGGGCTCCTCACTTCCCAGTAGGGACGGCCGGGCAGAGGCACCCCTCACCTCCCGGACGGGGTGGCTGGCCGGGCGGGGGGCTGACCCCCCCACCTCCGTCCCGGACGGGGCGGCTGGCCAGGCAGAGGGGCTCCTCACTTCCCAGTAGGGGCGGTCGGGCAGAGGCGCCCCTCACGTCCCGGACGGGGCGGCTGGCCGGGCGGGGGGCTGACCCCCCCACCTCCCTCCCGGACGGGGCGGCTGGCCGGGCGGGGGGCTGATCCCCCCACCTCCCTCCCGGACGGGGCGGCTGGCCGGGTGGGGGGCTGACCCCCCCACCTCCCTCCCGGACGGGCGGCTGGCCGGGCAGAGGGGCTCCTCACTTCCCAGTAGGGACGGCCGGGCAGAGGCACCCCTCACCTCCCGGACAGGGTGGCTGGCCGGGCGGGGGGCTGACCCCCCCCACCTCCGTCCCGGACGGGGCGGCTGGCCAGGCAGAGGGGCTCCTCACTTCCCAGTAGGGGCGGTCGGGCAGAGGCGCCCCTCACCTCCCGGACAGGGCGGCTGGCCGGGCGGGGGGCTGTTCCCCCCACCTCCCTCCCGGACGGGGCGGCTGGCAGGGCGGGGGGCTGACCCCCTCCACCTCCCTCCCGGATGGGGCGGCTGGCCTGGCGGGGGCTGACCCCCACCTCCCTCCCGGACGGGTGGCTGCTGGGCGGAGACGCTCCTCACTTCCCAGACGGGGTGGCTGCCGGGCGGAGGGGCTCCTCACTTCTCAGATGGGGCGGCTGCCGGGCAGAGGGGCTCCTCACTTCTCAGACGGGGCCGCCGGGCAGAGACGCTCCTCACCTCCCAGACGGGGTCGCGGCCGGGTAGAGGCACTCCTCACATCCCAGACGGGGCGGCGGGGCAGAGGCGCTCCCCACATCTCAGAGATGGGCGGCTGGGCAGAGAGGCTCCTCACTTTCTAGATGTGATGGCGGCTGGGAAGAGGCGCTCCTCACTGCCTAGATGGGATGGCGGCCGGGCAGAGACGCTCCTCACTTTCCAGACTGGGCAGCCAGGGAGAGGGGCTCCTCACATCCCAGACGATGGGCGGCCAGGTAGAGACGCTCCTCACTTCCCAGACGGGGTGGCGGCCGGGCAGAGGCTGCAATCTCGGCACTTTGGGAGGCCAAGGCAGGTAGCTGGGAGGTGGAGGTTGTAGCGAGCTGAGATCACGCCACTGCACTCCAGCCTGGGCACCATTGAGCACTGAGTGAACCAGACTCCGTCTGCAATCCCGGCACCTCAGGAGGCCGAGGCTGGCGGATCACTCGCGGTTAGGAGCTGGAGACCAGCCCGGCCAACACAGCGAAACCCCGTCTCCACCAAAAAAATACGAAAACCAGTCAGGCATGGCGGCGCGCGCCTGCAATTGCAGGCACTCTGCAGGCTGAGGCAGGAGAATCAGGCAGGGAGGTTGCAGTGAGCCGAGATGGCAGCAGTACAGTCCAGCTTCTGCTCGGCATCAGAGGGAGACCGTGGAAAGAGAGGGAGAGGGAGACCGTGGGAGAGGGAGACCGTGGGAGAGGGAGAGGGAGAGGGAGAGGGAGAGGGAGAGGGCTGGTGTTTCCTTCTTAGCCCCTATCTCCATGGGGAGTTTTCACTCTGATAGACTAGTCTCCTTCACCCACCCAGGGCCAACGTGTCTGTCTTCTCTGTCCCTGCACACGGGAGATGGTCAATGTTCTTTTGTTGGCATCAGTAAAACAGGAAGACCCCTGAGGTGCAAGGATTGGGAGCCCTTCACCCCAGGTGAGGAAAGAGCCTTGAGGCAGGTAGACGACCTGAGTTAGTGCCCTCTCCCTACCCCGAGGGGTCAGCCCTGGGCAGGACAGGCCACGGCCCCTTGGGGGCACCTGTCACCTGTGCCCTTGATGGGTGGCCTGCAGGGGACGTGGCCGCATTTGGTCAGCGGTGGTCCTGGGGCAGCTGCGTTCAGGTGGGCAGCACTTTAGGAAGGACAAACTCCAAAACCCAGGCTCCAAAGGACCCATGAGAAGGTCGGGAGGCTCAAAGGAGTGTCCTGGTGGTGGGGCCAGCGCTTTGAGGCCCCTGGGTACCCAGCAGAGAGGGCCTGCATGAGGCATCTGGATACACTGAGCACCACTGGAAAATGAGAGGCCCGCAGAGGTCACCTGTCCCTGTGGGGGCAGCACTGCCTGAAGGGAGGTGGCCACAGCAGCCCACAGGGGCCCAGGGCTGACGAGCTCTGCCTTGGGTGCCAAGGCTGGGCAGGGCCTGTGCCCTTGGGAGTCCTGTTTGAGACCCACCTCCACCACATGGCCCTGCCCTCGTCTTATTTGCCTGGACAGCAAGGCCTGCAGAAGCTTATTTGCTCATCCAATTTAGGGATCCTGAGCTCCCTACTGGGCAAGGCTGGTGGGTTCACAGCTGCCCCTGATGGTTTCCTCGGCAACCTCAAATCAGATTCTGCTCCTTAGTTGCCAGCATCTATTACTAAAGAAGGTGGGGGCAGAAAGCATGGGGGTGTCATGGTGACAGAGGTAAGGAGAACACAGAGTTTTCTACTTCTGGTGATGGTAGCGGTGGCCGCCACCTGACCCAGGGCACCATCTCTTCCTCCTGTCTGTCCGCTGCTTCCTCTGCCCTGCTACCTCCCATTTCCTCCCCGCTGAGGTCACTGCAGTCCTCTCTCCACTTTTCCAAGATAGACGCAGCTTGCTGCTCTCCTGAGGCCCCCACTAAGCCTGTGGCTTCTGATCCCTGCTGACCTCTTGGACTTTATTTCCCTGGTCCCCTCCCCCACCTCCTTTCTGTTTGTTCCAGCCCCTTCCCTAACTTCCTCTCCCCCAGCTCTTACTCTGCCATTCCTAATCCCCCCATCCTGATTCCTCTTTTAGGTTTTCTCTGGCTAAATTATCTTTTTTTTTTTTTTTTTTTTTGAGATGGAATCTCATTCTGTCCCCCAGGCTGAAGTGCAGTGGTGCAATATCAGCTCACTGCAAACTCCACCTCCTGGGCTCAAGCCATTCTCTTGCCTCAGCCTCCCAAGTAGCTGGGAATACAGGCATGCACCACCATGCCGGGCTAATTTTTGTATTTTTGGTAGAGACAGGATTTCACCATACGGGCCAGGCTGGACTCAAACTCCTGACCTCAGGTGATTCGCCCGCCTCTGACCTCAGGTGATTTGCCCGCCTCTGCCTCCCAAAGTGTTGGGATTACAGGCGTGAGCCACCATGCCCAGCCAATTATCTTTTATATACTTGCTAATATCTGTCTCCTTTCCCCCCCGACCTTGTTTTGTGCTACACAGAATGATGAAAATCTAGAAACAGGAATCTCACTCCCAGCCTAGCCAGGACTCAGGTTTTGTGAAGCGGGCTGGGGCAGGAGGAAAAGCAAGCCCCACCAAACCAACACCTAGTCTAGAGCCTGACTTAAGTGCCACTCAAAACACGTTTCCTCCCTTTACTTTCCTGTAGCCCGATTCTTCCTGAAAAAGGTGGCCCCTGAGAACCATCTGAAAGTATCATGGGGTGGAGGGGCAAGGGTCCTGAGAGCTAGTCTTGCCATCTCTTGTCCCCAGTTTTCTTGAAGAAGCTGAGCTCCAGAAAAGAGGCAGGGCCCGTGGGGCATTTGGATTACGCTCCAAGTCTAATTCCCAATCCAGCGATCCTGCTCCTAGAGGCTCCCTTCATCTGTCCACTTGGACAAGTGAGGGGCGGGTCGCCCCACAACCCCTGCCTGGCCACAGAAGAAAACCGTCAGAAGGCTGTCTGTGGGGCCCCAGAACCATGTGGAAATGGCCTAAGGAGCTGGAGCCCTTTAGCCTCAAGAAGAGCGTGGGGGACCCAGCACCCTTCTGAAACCTAAACCACATTCTGGCCTAAGCCATTTTGCACTGTCTGTACCCTAGAAGGTTGTGAAGGCCTCTAAGTGGGTCCTCCTGTTTCCCCGTGTTCTGAGGCCCAGGGCTTTCTCAGAGCCTCTGTGGGTCCCACCCCTGCACCCATCACATGGTGTCTGGGTCCCGCCTGCCAGGCTCACATCCCCCCCCCACCACCTTGCTGTCCTATTTCCTTCCCTAGGACAGCCCACTGGGCATTGCCGTTCCCTCTCTTAGAAGACTTTCACAGGCCCTGCCCGTCCCTTTTGTCAGTCTAGTTAATGTCACCTCCTCAGAGAAACCCTCCCTGAGCACCCCATCTGCAGTAGGGTCACCCCCGTCTTCCACCCTCACTTTTCCTGGTGTTTCCTTCCTAGCCCCTGTCCCTATTGGGAATTTTCTGTGCTGATAGACTAGTCTCTCTCGCCCACTGGGGGCCAGCGTGTCTGTCTTGTCTGTCCCAGAACATCAAATGATTATTTGTTGGTATAAATGAAACAGGAAGGTCCCTGAGGTACTGGGATTGGGAGCCCTTCACCCCAGGTGAGAAAGGAGCCTTGAGGAAGGGGAGAGGACCCGAGTTCGTGGCCTCTCCCATTCTGAGGGTCAGCCCCGAGCAGGGCGGGCCGCTGCGTCTTGGAGTTCCTGTTGCCTGTGCCCTTGATGGGTGGCCTGCAGGGGAGGCAGCCGCACTGGGTTGGCTGTGATCCTGGGACAGCCGCAGTCCTGGGGCAGCCGCGTTCGGGCAGGCGGCACTTAGGAAAGACAAACTCTAAAACCCAGGGGTCCAAAGGACCCATGGGAAGGACAGGTGGCTCAGGGGAGTGACCTCGCTGCTTGGCCAGCGCTTTGAGGCCCCGGGGACCCAACGGAGAGGGCCCGGGTGAGGCATCTGGAGGCGCTGAGCGGGACCAGGAGCTGCGGGACCTGCAGAGGGCGCCCGCCCGTGTGGGCGCAGCAGCGCCTGGAGGGAGACGGCCCCGGCCGCCCGCAGGGGTCAGGCTCTGCTGCAGGTGGGGGTGGGGGGTCCCTGTCTCGGCCTCCCAGCCCAGGCTGGGTCTCTTTGCCCAGGTTGGGCGGGGCCGATGGCCGTTGGAAGCCCCGTCTCCACGGAGACCCGAGGCCGCCAGACCGCCTGTCAGGGGCTGCCCTGGAGCCTGGCACCTTACCCTTGCACCCTGTCTGCCCCTCGGGGGCCATGCTGTCCACGCTGACCCTGACTCGAGACATTGGGATGCCTGTCCACGCCTCCACTCCTGGGCCACTTCCCCGTGGGGTGAGCAGAAGGGCAGGGCGGGGTGGGAATCTGTTGTACCCAGGGAAAGGAATTGCCCCCAGGCCCGGAGAGTTTGAAGCCTGGGGTACTGTCACCAACAGCCCAGGACCCTCGCAGCTGGGCCTGCCCTAGAGTCTTCCTGCAGCAGGGCTGTCCTCCGGAGGGGCTGTGAATGTTTCCCGGGGGTGGGGCTGAAGCCAGAGCCCAGAGGTTTGCCCCTGGGGCAGGGATCCTCCAGGTCACTCGCCCCCGCCCCCTACGGGCTGCAGTGAAGGAGGCTCTGAGGGGAGGATGGCCGGCTCCTCCCCTGCAAGGACAGGGGCTCCTGGGAAGGCATTCCTGCTCTGGGGACTGCCTCCCTCCCCCACATCACAGCCAGCCACCACAGAATCTTGGCCAAGCTGACCACTCTTATCTGTGATCTCTGCCAGGGAGGCTGAAAGAACATCCAGCCCTACCCGTGGTCCCTTCCCACCTCAGGCTATATGACTCCCCACCTATTTCTTCACTTCCACTGGAAACACTGGTAAAACAATTCCTCACCCTCGACTCCAGGGAGCGGCCCCCACTAAACCAGCTGATGTGGGACCCCTGGGTCAATTGCTGGCCAGGAGACGCTGCTGACACCAGAGACCCTGGGCACCTGGGCCCCCTACAACCCTGGTCATGGTGGCCATGGGATGCCAGGCAGCACACATCTCGGAATCAGTATTTCCCCCACCCTACAAAAAATAAGTATCTGATTATCCCATGGCCACCTACGTAATCCTGGGGTACAGGAAAAGTGCAGAGGAGGAAGGGCTCCGTCATTTAAGCACAGTTCCTTCCTTCTGGGTGTCCCTCCTGCTCTTCCCCATCCGACAAAGTCCATCTTCCTTGTGGAACCAAAGACAGCTCAAAGGGAGCCGGCTGTTCACACTTTTAAGTTTTGGCTGCCCAAGGAGAGTCAGAAGTCAGGGCAGAAAGCCACAATTCCTGCCCCAGAACTCTCCCTGGGCCAGGTGTATCAGTGCCCTGTGATGGACGTATGGAACCTCCATGTCATTCTCTATTCCATGGTGGCCGGGGCCCTGACCTTCTACTCAGGGAACCTGGTGGACCTGAGGAAAAAAATTATCACAGGACAATACTATTCCCCACCATTTTTTCCCTCTTCAAATTGAAAGATTTATTAAAAAGTACTTAATGCTAAACGTTAGGGAGCGATCCCTACTGGAACAACTGATGAGGGGCCCGTGGGTGAACAGTGGCCAGAGATCTCATTGATATCGTACAAAGAGCCACTCCTGGACCACCCGAACTCCAACAACTCAGCTCACGGTGGCCATGGGATTCAAGGCTGAGAACATCTCAGTGCCAAAAAAAAAAAAAAACATTCAACTATCCCATGGCCACCTACCTCATTTTAGAGCACACAAAACAAAAAGGAAGCACTCTACCATCAGAAAACTGTCTCTTCTTCCTGGAGTTCCCACCTCTCCTTCTCCATCTGCTGAAGTTTCCACCTTCCCTCTCCCACTGGAGCAGGCTCACAGCGAGCCAATTTGTCCCATATTCAATATTCAGCTGTCGGAGAACGGCCAGAAGTCAGGGCAGAAGACCACCATTCCTGCCAGTGCACTTGCCATCCTGTAGAGGAAGCCAGACAGTTTTAGTGAAAACCCCAGCATGACCCTGTGGGCTCCTCCTCTACCCAGAGCACCAGCAGTAGTGGAAGAGACCCAGAAAAAACCCTGGCCCAGCGACAACCACTGCAGGAAGCCAGATTCCTCCAAACTGGGCAGCCAGAGGCTGTGAAGTCAGCCTCATCCACAAGAACCTGGGGCTGCCACAGGGCTGCCAGAATATGCCTTTCATTTCTTCTACAAATGTGTTGCTTGTGCCCAGCACAGAAAACTCTTACAAATAAGATCACCCCAACAAAGTAGTTGAATGGCTGTGGTGAAGACAAAAATCAAGTAGGTAGGGTGGTCAAGCCGCACTTCCTGCATTTTATTTATTATGTTTTTATTAGTATTGTTTTAATTGGCAAATCATGCTCGTATTCATTTATGGGGTAGAATGTGATGATTAGATAGATGTGTGCACCGTGGAATGAGGAAATCATGCTACTTAGCATCTCCACCACCTCAGAAAGACCAGTTCCACATGATGTCACAGAAATGTTGATCAGAAAAAGTTGACCTCACAGAAGTCGTGAGTAGATCGATGGTGACAGGAGCCGGGGAGTGGCACGGGGAGGAAATGGGGGGTTGTCCATCAAAGGACCAAAATCTCAGATGGACAGGAGGAGGAGGTTTTGACATCCCGTGCACAGCAGGGTGACCAGAGTCAATGGGAATGTACTGCATTGCAAAACACCTGAGAGAGTCCATGTCAAATGTCTTTTTGCATTTACATTAGAGAGGACGAAGGCCCTGAGGTCCAAGAACATTGAAACCTGACAGGTCAGTCATGCGTGTACTCCAACAGCTGCAGGTAGGGGCCAGGCAAGATGTCCACACTGCCGTGGCTTCAAAGGCATCCTATCCCAAGGGGTGAACTGAAGGACAGCCTGGAGCTTCCTGGAGACCAGAGGGCCCCTCCACCCTACCTGGAGCAACGCCAGAGCCTGGACTATTTCCTGCAGCACTTCTCCCCTGCCCTGCTCTATTTTATCTTTTTTAATAAAGATGACTCCTGATAAACGACTGTTTCTTCCAAATCTTGTAGTAGCATTGGAAAGGTGGCAGATGGGTCACAGACACTCTGCTGCTTTGCGCCCTCCCTGCACAGAACGGGGGCTGTGCACACTCTAATTTAGGCGGCATGCAGTCATGTGATCCTCTCAGTTACTCAGAAAAACTGAAAGGAAAAGAGACCTCAGAGAAGAATCTGAGTGACCCCACCCGCAGCAAATCTTTAGCAGTGGCTCTGAAGGGCTGAGGCTCTGAGCAGGTGCAGGGGCAGAGTCCTACGCATTGTGCATGGCCTCCCCACACTCACACTGCCCGGTGAGCATTTTCAGAAGGACAAGTGGCCCCTTCAGGTCCCATTTGCCTATGTTAATCATGCTGAGAGGTCCCCAGGAAGGTCCCGAAGTCCTAGGAACCAGGCTGTGCTGGGGTCAGAGTGACGGGGGTGTGGTCCTCAAAGCGCCTTAGGGGGCTACTTGTGCTGCTGGGCTCCTGGCTGTCTAGTGCGGCACTGGCCTTTCTGCTGCGATGGTTTCCCCTTTTGATAACAGCGGCACAAAGCGGTCCCCCTCAGAGGCCTGACAGAGGAGTGAGCCTTCATCCAGGCCCATGTTGAAGGGGTGCTTCTGGGCAAGGCAGGTGTCCTGGGGGTCAGGGGAGGGTTGACGGCAAAACACAGCCCTGAGGGATGGAGGGGGTGATGGGAATGGGAGCTTTCATAAGGCAGGTTCCAGTTTCCCAGGAACCTGGTGTTTCTGTGTCAGGCAGTGAATCTATGGGTGCAGATGCCCCATCAACACCCCTCAGGGAGCTTCCTTGTGGGTTCCTAAGGAGCCTGAGGAAGGTCCAGAAGGCCTCACCCTCATGCATGGCCAGGGCTCTGTGTGCACAGCCTTGAACATGCGATGACCCTGCCCATTACTGATGGTGGCCAGGGATGGTCCTGGAGTTTGACCAGCCAGATAAGATTCTCCTTCTCCCCAAGAGAACAGGACCAGGAAGCAAGAGGCGGGCTGGGGGAGAGGGTGGGAGTGTTGTGTGAGGTCTCTCGTCTCCCCAGTGTGCTGCTGTCTTTAAAATCCACTTTGGGGATGAGGGTCCCTCAGGTGTCAATACTGCCTGGACCCTTGTACACTCAACAAGCATTTGAAGGCTGAGCAATCTCTGAGTGCCTGGGGTGATCGTAACACTGATGACCTCACGAACAGTGACATTTACACAGTAGTCGTTATAAGCCAGGCCCTGTCATCGTAGTCTCATGTGTACAGCAAAGGGCATGCGGTTGTTAGAGAACATCATGATACTAAGACCTTGACAAACCAAAACAACATCACAGCTTTCAAATTTGCGGGTAACTCATCCAAATGCTGTTTAGGGCAAAGGTGAGATTTGAACCCAGGCAGTCAGGATTTGATGTTACTCTGTTCTGTGCTGTGCCAACTGTGTGAGGGTGTGTATGAGAGTGTGTGTGTGTATGCCAGTGGTGCCAGCCCATGTCATAGTCTTATTTATTCGTTCCATAGTCTGTACTGTGTGGCAGACACCAGGCCGGGCTCTAGTGGTGAAAAGACAGACAGATGCTGTTGCGGAGTTCTCAGACCGATCAGAGATCATCCTAAGTGCCAGGAGGAGAAAACAGAGGAGATAGACTAAACTAAGGTGGAGCAGTGTGGAAGGCCTTGCCAAGGAAGTAGCATTTACATTGAGCCCTGAAGGAGGTGCGGGAGGGAGCTTGTCAGTACGGAGTGGAGGGAACAGTGTTTCTAGCAGTGGGAACAGCATGTGCAAAGGCCCTGAGGTGAGCATAAGTTTCCTTGTTTGGAGAGCTAAGAGGTCAGCAAGGCTGGAGCACAGAGGGCAGGGGTGAGAGGAAGGAGCTGAGAAAGGGGAAGTGAGTAGGGCCAGATCCCGCCACTCCTTGCAGGCCCAGCAAAGGGATTTGGTAAGGTTTTTAAAGATTTCAAAAAAATCTTAAGATGTTAAAGCCTTTGCAAGCTAAAATAAGATTTTGGTTTCTTTTCAAAGTTGCAAGAAGTAGTTTAATCTAAGATTAATAAAATAGTTACTATAATGTCTCCCATTAAGCACACATTTGGTGCCTGCTGTCTTTAATTCCTACCACGCCTACCTGTAGGTTGTGGCTGTCTCCAGCTAACCTGGGAAAGAGTGGCTCTGGGAGGGAAGTGACTTGCCGAGGTCATGCAGTTCCAGCCCACGAAGCCCCACGTGTGTGCTTCCTTCCCCTGCTCCTTTGTTTCCGGTCTGGTAAATGGGGATCTTTAGTGACCTTGAGGCTTCCGGCACGTTCTTAGCACAATGTGTTCCTATGCGCTTTGTAAAGCAAAAGCAACTCTGAACTTCTTAGCTCGCGTCATCAGCTGTTCCCAGGTGACGGCACCTGGGCACTCCCAGCAGGGCTGGAGGTGGAAAAGATGGACTTTTCAGTGCATTTATCAGCAGGAGCCGGGCTGCCTGGAGGTCAGGAGAGTAAATCACAGCTCCCAGGCCTGAGAGCAGGAGGCGCATAGACAGCAGGGACAGCCGAGGGCCTCAGGGGAACCATCGCCGGCCCTTCACCCTGTTTGGAAACTGAGGCTAAGGTGCTGGGGATGGTGAGGGGGTTCTAGGTGAGCTGGGGCGGGGGTGGCATCAAGGTTGGGGATCCAGCCTCAGGCCTCGGCATCCACGTGAGCTTAGCCTGCCTCCTGCAGCTCCAAGCCAGGGCAGTGGTCTCTGCTCCCAACGTGTGAACGTCTTCTTGTGAGATGCCGCCCGGAAAGTCCCCACTTTGCTGTCTGTCTCCACAACCCTGTCAGCCATCAGCGAAACCTGGTGGACCCCTTCGGAATCTGCCCCTCCAGCCGTCCATTGCCCCACCTGGCCCCGGCACCACCAGCTTTCCCCTGGTTGTAGCATTATGAACGGTCTCCCTGCTCTGCCTGTCAGCCCTGGCCCCTCCTCTGCTCAGCACCCTCCCACAGCACCCACCTCACCCAGGTGACAACCAGGGTCCTCAGGGTGGGCACAGACCCTGCACAATGTGTCACTGTCACCTCTCTGACCTCATATCTTATTGCTCTTCCTCTTGCCCCTCCAGTATCCCCACTAGAACATGAGCTGAAAAGGGGCAATAATTTTTTTTTTGTTTTGAGACAGGGTCTCTGTCACCCAGGCTGGAGTGCAGTGATATGATCATAGCTCACTGTAGCCTTGAACTCCCAGCCTTAAGTGTTCCTCTTATCTTGGCCTCCCAAAGTGCTAAGATTACAGGTGTGAGCCACCACCCCTGGCCTGGGGGGCAGGAATTTTTGTTTTGTTCTCTGATGTGTCCCTAGTGCCTAGGACAATTCCTGGCACATAGTAGATACTCAATAAATATTTGTTAAATAAATGAACAATGACCTGAGGTAGGTATGACTATCATTTTAAAGATGAGTAAACTGACGCACAGAGAGATGAAATAACTAACACAAGGTAATGCAAGTACTAAATAGCAGACTTGAGATTCAAACCCATGCCGACTGGTTTCAGAGTCAGTGTTCTTAGTCCCTAATCTATATTGCTGCTTCAATTAAACTTTGATGAAGCTAGATGTGGTGGCTCACGCCTGTAATCCCAACACTTTGGGAGGCCAAGGTGGGAGGATTGCTTGAGCTCAGGAGTTCATGGCCAGCCTGGCCAACATGAGCAAACCCCATTTCTACCAAAAATACCAAAATTAGCCGGGCATGGTGGCTCATGCCTGTGGTAGCAGCTGCTCGGGAGGCTGAGGTGGGAGGATTGCTTGAGTTCAGGAGGCAGAGGTTGCAGTGAGCCTAAATCAAACCACTGCACTCCAGCCTGGGCAACACAGCAAGGCCCTGTCTCAAAAGAAAAGAAAAAAAATTAAAGTTTGATGAATTAAATTAAATAGCTTTTCTACCTTCTTCTTGTACTCTGTACACTAGATCACCAAATCTTTTCTCCCTTTTGATTCTCTTTCCTACTTCCATTCCCTTGCTCATGCTGTTTCCTCTGATTAGAATGTCCTTTCACATAGAGGACTCTCATTCATTCTTCAAAACCCAACCTAAATTGACCCTCCGCCAAGTAGGGTTAATTTCTCTGTCTTCTTTGCTTCCATTGTCCTGTGGATATACCTTTCTCAGAGTCCTTAAAAGTGATCTATTTATGTGTGTTTATGAATCTTCACTTATCCTTGAGTTTCTTCATGGCAGGGATCTATTCTTTATTTTCTTCATCTCTCCCAGCCTGTGTCTAGCACATGTTAGGGGCCTGATACATATTTGTTGAATGGGTGACTAGAAGGCTTTCTGGTACTTACCACCTGCCAAGTGAATGTATGCTTGTTGAGTCCTATTTATGATGAACTTTCATTTTAACACAGCCCATATGTTCCAGAGAGAGAAAAACAGGCCCAAATCATAACAGAATCACAGACAATCACATCTCTAGGTGACTTTTCATGTCATTCATTCAGTGGCTTCTGGTAAAACAGTGTTCCATCTTTGGTGCATTAAACACATTTAGTGTTATCCGACGTACCATTGCCTTTCATCCCAGGATCAAAAGGCACCATGGGGCTATAAAACTAACTGACCACGGGGGAAGTCCACTTGGTTAGAGGACAAAAGGGACGTTCATGCCCCATTGGGTTATACAACTCCTGGTGGTCGTAAAATGCATTGGTATCCATGTAAAGGTGTTGACCAAAAGTCATGGGGCGGACTATGATAACAAAACCCTTTGCCCTGCATGAGAATTTGATCTTGGGTTAACTTTCTAGCTCTGTTTCCCTGGGAACCAGGTAAAAGCAGAATGTCCCGCTGCTGCTGGGCAGTATTGCTAATGGCACAATGGTATCTGGGCAGGGGGGCTATGAGTACCTGCTGGGCCACCAGGCTTGGGCTTCACAGAGCACAGTTACTCTGTGCTGGACACGTCCCTGTGGGGTGTCCGGGACACTTTGCTGATGGAATTGTTAGTAGAGGTGTTGGCTCCTGAGGGGCATGAGGCTTTTAAGCCAGGGCAGCTCCCATACCTGCCTGATGTGTCTCTGGTCTCTTTGCACCTGTGTGGTCACGGGGGTTGGGGGGTGATTGACAATGGAGATGGTTCCCATGTGGCTGTGTGGGGAACTGCAGAAGAGGAACACTCGAAGCTACCCTCCTGGCATCCTGGCAGGCTGTGCTCCTGTCCTGGGTCCTTCTCTGTGGATGGTGGCCTAGGTTAGGCCTGTGGTGCTGAAAGTCGAGTTGAACCCCAAGACACGCCCTGGTGGGCACTGCAGAGATCAGATGCTCTGTGTGCCCCGTGCAGCACTGGAGAGGAAGCGCACGGGGCTGCTTCAGCACTCAGGACCCTAAAGGAAAAGTGGATTGGCTGAGAGGATGTCACGAGGCTGAAGCCCCCCAGCAGTCTGCCCAATGCCCCTTCTCCCATTGCACCCTGGACAGCAGGCGGTCCCTGCCTGGGCCAGGCCCAGGGCCCAGAACTGGGAGACCAGTGATGCCCACATTGATCCCCAAGGCAGAAGTCATTCTCCTCCCAGGCCCTTCCACCCTTCCTCTCAGGGCCTTATAATTGGGTGTGGGGGCTTCTTTCTTCCTGCTGACCTCCTGGGCTCGGGCAGGACCTCTGTCTTCTCCCTCCTTCTGATTGGCCTGGGCCATAGAGGGGACTCATCCCTGGTGGGGAGGTTGATGTCAGCTCTATTGGCCCCTGTGGCAGGCTCTTGCTCTGCACCGGCCCTGGATGGCGTATTCTTCCTGCCTTTGCCACTGAAGCCTCCCGGCAGCCTCCCGAGGTTGGCCTCCTCATTGCCTCCATTTCTCAGATAAGGAACCAGAGGTTCAGAGAGATTCAGCAACTTGCTCAAGGTCACCCAGCAGCTCTGGGGCTGAGGGAGGACTCGGCCCCAACCCCTGGGCTCAGAGCCTGGCTCTGAGCCACTGCTTTGTGCTGACCAACATTCCCTTCCAAAGCTCATTAATGTCCTGTGACTCCAAACCAACAGCGCCTTAGGAGGGAGCTCTGGGCAGTGAATTTCTAGGGCACAAGATGTCCCCTTCCTTCCCTCCTCTGAGTCTGTCCATTCAGAAAATGCTGAGATGGGCCAGGTATAAAGTCTGGAATGCGGCCCAAAAATGAATCAGATTTTCCTCTTCCTGCTAACGCCTTTGCTTTGACTTCCTCTGCAGTCGCCGTGGTCCCCGTGTGTCCCCAGTATGTCTCTTGTAAGCAGGAGCTTGCGTTCTCAGATCTGGCCAATAGGTGCATGGGGAAGGTGGATGTGGGGAACTGGGAGGCCAGTTTTTCCTTCCCTTCTGCTGGGAGGGTGGGACCTGCCCACCTGTCCCCCATCCCCAGCTTCCCTCTGATAGGAGTTCTGCCTCAAGAAAAACTCTGCGGCAGGGAGGACTCTGCTGGGCACCCAGGGGTAGAGGCTGTGCCAGGAGGTGGTGTGCTCCCATCTCTGGAGGTGGGGAAGCAGAGACCTGGGGGCCTCCCTGCGATCTGGAGGAGCTCCATCCTTGTGGGAGGGTTTGGGCCTTTGGGATCCCTTCTAAACCTGAGTTTGTATCTTTCCATGATTTCCTCCCAGAGCTCAGGCCTCTAACTGGGAAGAAGCCAATTATGCAGGAAGCATTGACGTTTCCATGAAAAGCTGACATTCTGGGGCATTACTGAGGGAGTGTGGAGAGTCAGGCACAGCAGCTGCCCTGTGCCCACTGGCCGGGCAAGCTGGGGGTCTGGATGGGTCACACCTCCCCGCCAACCCTGCCCAAACCTCGATAGCAGGGCCTTCTGGAACCACAGTTCTCAACCTGTCTGACGAAAGACCCCTTTTTGTTATTTCCCGTCCATCACGATTGACACCTTGGTAAGTGGATACTCCTGCGTGAGATGCCAGGGCGCTGAGGGGCTGGAGTTGAGTATGTGCGCTGCCTCTTGCTTTCTGAGTTTACCCTGCTGTGGGCCTGTGCCATGGGGGACCAGCCAGTCCCCAGGCTGCCCCTCAGAGCACGGTTCCTCAGCAGCCGTAAAGGAAGCAGAGGGTCTGGGGCCCCACGCACGTCGCCCTTTGTGGGTCCTGAGCTCATTGGCACATCGAGCACTCTGAGGAGTCTTGTGGGAAAGAAACGTGCTCACTGTTTCCCAAGCCTGTTTGACCTTGGAGTGCTTTCGACGGCCTCTACCACGGAGCTTGGCCCCCAGCGTCTGTTGCGAGAGGCCATTCTCTGGTTGGTGAGGATGTGGAGAAATAAGAACCTCTGTGGCTCCATTGCTGGGGGGAGGAAAAGTGGTGCAGCCGCCGTGGGAAACGGTGTGGTGGTTCCCGAAGGAGTTAAACATACAATACAATTCCCCTATGATCCGGCAATCCCACTTCTCAGTGTAGACCCAAAAGAATTGAAAGCAGGGCCTCAAACAGATATGTGCACACCCATGTTCACAACAGCATCACTCACAATAGCCAAAGGTGGAAGCAAAGAAAGTGTCCATGACAGAGGAACGTGGTCTGTCCCTACAATGGAATATGATTCGCATGAGCAACAAAAGAAAAAGTAGATAAATTGGACTCCATCAGAGTTAAAAGCTTTTATGCTTCAAAGAATGCTATCAAGAAAATGAAAAGACAACACAGAAAAGAAGAAAATATTTGCAAATCATATATACGATAAGGGGCTTGGACCTAGAATGTGTAAAGAACTGTTATAACTCAATAACAAAAGGACAACCCAACTAAAAAGCAGTCAAAGCAATGACAAAAATCACCTGATTTTAAAATGGGCCAAGGACTGGAATAGACATGTGTCCAGACAAGATACACCAGTGACCAGTACACATGTGAGAAGATGCTTGCCGTCATTAGCCACCAAGGAAAGGTAAATCAAAACCACAAGGAGGTGCCACTAACACCACCAGGATGGCTCTACTCAAAAAGTCAGACAATGACAACTGTTGATGAGGAGATGAGGACGTGGAGAAACGAGCCCTCATGCATTGTGGGTGAGAATGTGAAATGCTGTAACTGCTTTGGAAGACAGTCCGGCAGCGCCTCGAGCAGTTAGACATGTATTACCCTGTGACCCGGCAATTCCACTCCAGGGCCTCTACCTAGGAGAGATGAAAACCTACAGAATTCATCCTTAAATGTTTGTAACAGCATTATTCATAATAACCAGAAAGTGGAAACAACACAAATGTCCGTCAGTTGATGAATGAACACACTGTGGTCTCTCCACACAGTGGAATATTATTCAGCCGTGTAAAGAATGAAGTCCTGATACATGTTACAACATGGGTGAGCCCTAAAAACATGCTAGATGCAAGAAGCCATTCACAAAAGTCCACATATTATACGATTCCATTTAGGCAAAATGTCCAGAATAGGGAAAACTGTAGAGACAGAAAGCAGATTAGTGGTGGCAGGGGCTGGGTGGAGGAGGCCGAGGGAGTAGAGAGCTGATAGCCAATAGGAACAGGGTTTCTTTTTTTGTTTTTTTTTTGTTTTTTTGTTTTTGAGACAGAGTCTTGCTCTGTTGCCCAGGCTGGAGTGCAGTGGTGCGATCTTGGCTCACTGCAAGTTCCGCCTCCCGGGTTCCCGCCCGGGAGGCTATTCTCCTGCCTCAGCCTCTCGAGTAGCTGGGACTACAGGCGCCCGCCACCACGCCCGGCTATTTTTTTGTATTTTTAGTAGAGACGGGGTTTCACCGTGTTAGCCAGGGTGGTCTCGATCTCCTGACCTCGTGATCCACCCGCCTCGGCCTCCCAAAGTGCTGGGATTACAGGTGTGAGCCACCGCGCCCAGCCCAGGGTTTCTTTTTGGTGATGAAAATGTTCTGAAATTAAGTGTGGTGATGGTTGCACCAGTCTGTGATTAAACTAAATATCACTGATTTGTGTATTTGAGCTGAGTGGGTTGTGTGGTGTGTGAATTATACCTTGATAAAGCTGTGTTTTAAAAAAGGACAAGGTGAGCTCCCCATCCCTAGAGGTATTCCAGAAGCCGCTTAGGGCTGCCTCTTAGGAATGCTGCAGATGGGAGTCTTTGAGTGCAGAGGTCACTCTTTGGGGGCGGGATGGACGACTTTTTAAAGACAGCTTTGTGGAGATACAACTTTTCAGTCCTTTGCAGTGGGGTGGAACTTGACTCTGTGGTTTTCTTTTTTCTTTTTTTTTGAGACGGAATCTCGCTCTGTCGCCCAGGCTGGAGTGCAGTGGCGCCATCTCGGCTCACTGCAAGCTCCGCCTCCCAGGTTCACGCCATTCTCTTGCCTTAGCCTCCCGAGTAGCTGCGCCCGCCACCACACCTGGCTAATTTTTTTGTATTTTTAGTAGAGATGGGGTTTCACCGTCTTAGCCAGGATGGTCTCGATATCCTGAGCTTGTGATCCGCCTGCCTGGGCCTCCCAAAGTGCTGGGATAACAGGCGTGAGCCACCGCGCCTGGCCGACTCTGAGGTTTTCTTGAAACTCCTATTTTATGAGTTGATAGAGGTGGTTATGGGGCTGGGTAAATAGGAAGGTCGTTGTGACCTTGAACTCCTTTATGGGTTGATTTGCCAATTGATCCAACAGTGGGATTGACAGTGCATTTGGGGCTTGATGGATTCTGCTGCACTGGCTCACGTGGACTTGGGGACACAGGCGTAGTGAGCCTCTGGCCTTGTGTGCCTGCCCCACAGTCTGGGTCTTTAGTGCCCTGGAGCATCAGCTTCCAAGTTTGTAAAGCAAGATTGCTGTGAGCTTGGTAGAGAGGAATGTGCAGGGTCCAACGCCCTCAGCGGGCCTGGGCCTCCAGCCTGGCCCCCCATGCAGTCACGTTCCTGTGCAGTGGGGTGATCCACAGATGTGGAGACATCCCAGGCCTGGCCATGCGGCCGAAACTGCTGCCACAGAGGGGGCTGTGCATTCCCTGGCCCCTTGGGCTGGTCAGATGAGGCCCCTCCGCAGACAGTGGAGTGGAGGCTGGAGGTAAGGCCTCCATGGACACATGATGAGCCCTCCCTATAGTGGGCAGAGGGGGCTGGACACCAGGCCCCCCAGGAGTAGTACTAGTGATGTGCAGAGGCTGGCAGGTCCTTGGCTGAGCCAGGGCTGTCGGGAGCGCACAGCCACCTGCTTTGCTGGGGGAGAAAGGTGGGGCAGACACACAGTGGCCAGGCCTGGTGACCAATGGGGCACCTGGTGCCTGTGGGAGGGAGCCTGCCAGGGTCCCCTGTGAACCCCCTCCCCTCCAAGTGGAATTTTGCCACTCATAAGCAAAGGTGTTGGAATGACCGCCTGGCCCCTTAGTGGTATGTTAGTGTATGTGTTCATGTGTGCACACGTGTGTATGTGCTGTGTGTGCTGCAATGTGTGTTGGGGGGATCCGGCAGAGACCTTCCTCCTTTTATTTCAGGTAAGGCTAGAAACTGTAACATGTGACACCTTTGGCATTAGTTTTCCTCCTTGGTTATCTGTTGGGTGGGAGTGAGTTTCCTTCTCCCCTCTTTCCTGCCTGCTACAAACATTTCCTGACTTCCTGCTCCACTCCAGGCCTGTGCGCAGAAGCCTCCAGTGTGAGCGAGGCCCCAGCCTGCACACAGGTGAGCGGGAGAGCTGCAGGTGGTCCAGCTCTGAGCTGGGATGACACCACCTTTCCCAGTGGAAGGAGGCTGAGAACAGAGAGGCAAGGGTGGGGCCTTACCTGGAGGGTGATGGCCTCACAGCCGAGGAGACTCTTCAGTGCTGACCTCGGAAGGCTCTGAGATACGGGGCTGAGGAAGGGCTCTCCAGGCAGAGGGAATAGCAGGGGCACAGGCCCAGGGCAGGGAGGGGACAGGGCAGCGTTCAGGGAGGTGGAGGTGAGGCCGGTGTAGGTGGGAGTGGTAGGACAGAGGCTGCAGAGGGTCTACGGGGTCAGTGGGAGATGAAGTAGGGCAGCCTGTCAGATGGGCTCACTGCCTGTGCTATTTTAAGGTCTTCTTCGTATCGATTGCCCTGGGCTTTGGCCTGACCATCTTCCCAGAGCTCCCCAGTCTCCCTCCCCTCACCAGCACCGTCTACACTAGTGGGCCATGGCACCCAGAGGGCTGGCTTAGACCAGGGCTATGGGGCCCCCTCAGCTTGTGGGATCTGTTGGAAGCCCAGGGCCCTAGGAGATGGAAGGCAGCTGGGAGCCACCACCCTGGAGTCCCTACGGCCAAGAGGCTCCACGGCCACAGCTGACCCATGCCGAGCCTCAGGCCAGGGGCAGAGTTCTGGTGTGGGGCTGCTAGGACAGGGGTGTTTGAATAATTCCTGCGTCCTGAATCTGAGCTCAGGCCTGACAGACAGGGCTGCTCGTTGCCTCTGCTTCCCGCACGCATGGCCAGCTGCCAAGATCCCTCTAGAACACGGCCCTGGCTTGTCTCTCTGGCTGGCCTTTTCACCCCAGACACAGGTGTGCCCGAGTTTCTCCTAAGCTGCGTGAGCCACTGGCACTCATTAAAACCCACCAGATGCAAATGGGATGATACGATTATCATTATTGAGATGCTTGTCAATAGCTGCAGCTTATCAGAGCCGCCTTTGTGCCAGGCTCTGCTCCAGGAATGAGACCTCTTTTATCTCATCTAATCTTCACAACAACCTTGGTGGGAAGGTACGATTAGCTCCACTTTACAGGTGAGAAAACTGAGGCTCAGAGAGGTTAAGAAACCTGCCCCTCAGAGGCACAGCGCACATGGGGCAGAGGCGGCATTCAGACTCTGGACTGCCTGACTCCAGAGCTGCTGAGCCACCACTAGGGCCTCTCACAGAGGCTGGGCACTGACACGCGCCCACAGGGGCTCAAAAACACAGGGCCGTGGGGGTCTCAGGTCCTCTGGCCATGGAGAGAAGGGTTCTGGGGACACGAAACCAGCGTGGAGGGACTGTGCCTGCGAGGGTGGGCGAGGGCTGCTTGGAGGGTGCGGCATTTGCTGTGGGCTTTTAGGGATTTCATCTGCCAGGATGGGGGCAGGGAGAGAGGGCCTTCCAGGAAGACGGAAGTTCCAGGGCAAAGGCCCGGAGGCTGGGCACCTGGATTTGGGCTCAGTGTGGTGGCTGAGAAGGGCTGGAGTGGTGCCAGTTCGTGGGTCCTGGCCTGGCCTTCAGAGATGGGCTGTGAGGGGATCAGACCTTTTTTTAGCGCCATGGAGAGGCAAGGATGGTGACTCGCCTGCCGGCTCTGTGGGCTCCTACTGGGGGAGGGGCGTCCAGGGAGGTGGCTGAAGACGCTGCTCCCAAAACAGGACTCGGGGGTGGATGCCTGAAGAGCCCAGACCCTGAGTTGGGGTCTTTGTTTGTAAGGCTGACCTGGGGCAGGGGGCAGAGGGGGGTGGTGGGGGCCCAGAAAACAGAGGCCCCAGGCAGGGATATTTCCTCCCTCCCTTCCTAATTCAGTAAATTTCATGGGCACGCTATTAGAAGTCCTGGATTCAGGAGCGACAGGATGAAGACCTCACTGCCAAGAAGGCCTTTCATGTTCATTGCTGTCGAGGAAGTGGTGAGACCCCCGTCATCACAGGTGTGAAAGCAGAGGCTGGATCCTCATTTCTTCAGGCTGTGCTTACACTGTTCTCCTGCCCTGTGTCTTGTCCACACAGACTGCGAGCTCCATGAGGGTGGAGATCGCTCAGTCATCCAACATACCTTTACTGCACACCTACTGTGTGTCAGGCACTGCTAGCCAGAGGATGCATCAGGGAACAGCATACAAGGTCTCTACCTTCTACCTGACTCTTGTCTCTCTCGAGTGATAGTACGTGATGATCTTGCCAGAGGGAGGCATCTGGGGTCTGTGCTGCTGTGTTTATAGAGTCACAGCCTCCTCACCTCCCACTCGGCCTCCCGGAGTCATTGACTGGCCATGGTACTTTCAGTCCTCAGCGGGCCGTGCCCTCCATGTGGATGGCGTTTATTTACAAGGCCTCAGGGCCTGCCTCCTTCCCCTTCTCCCCTAGGAATGTCCCCATTGGGGTGGGCATAGGGAGAAACACACATGACTCCTGAGGCTGCCTGAAGCCCACTCAGCTCCACGGAGATCGGCCCCCAAGACACTCTTCTTCTTAGGAAAACTCAGAGCGGAGGAGCCCCGGCTGTTAGTGTACTCCAGTGGCTGTGGCATGTGTCTGCCTGCAGTTTCCAGGGGCCTGGCTTTATCTGTGTAGATTGGGATAATCTAGAGTAGTTGCTGGAGCTCCTGGGGTTAAGCTGCTTGGACACGCATCAGCCCCCTCCTCCTGAGCACTGCAGGCAATTATCCTAGGGGAGGGGCGGGTGGCCTGGCAGCTGGCGCCTCTGCAGTGGAGGTGGCAGTGGGGGCTTGGAGATTGCGGTTCCCTTCCCTGGGCCCAGGGAGGTGCAACCCCTGCCAGCTGCGTGAAACATCCTCCTGCAGTGAGTGTGCGGGACTAGATAAGAGGCCGAACTGGAGCCCTGGGAGGGCACCCAAGGATAAGGGCAGGACTTACCCTGTGCCGGGCACTTGGTGTTCATTCTACCTCACTGGGTCCCCCCAGCCTGGGGGATACCACAGCCAGGTCACACAGCCCAAGCCACATAAGTGACATTTGATGAAACCGGGATTCAAAACCCGGTGCGTCTCCCTCCAAGATTGCTATTCTTTCACCAGGCTGGGCTGTGAATGGGCTGCTTCCCCCAACTCCCTTTGCTGAGGACCGGGACTCGGAGGCTCAGAAGAGTGAAGTGACCTGCTCAAGGCCTGTGATATTCCTGGGCCAAGATTCCTGAGCCTCCCCCTGCAGGAAGGTAAGTGATGTGTGGATACTGTCCCCACTGCATAGTAATGGGGAAGGTTGGAGGAGGGCAGGGCTGTAATCTCGGAAGCTTGTGAGGGGCTTAGCTCCAGTGCTGGGCGTCAGGCTGCTGCAGTGTTCTTGGAAAGTGCAAAAGAGAATTCCTGAGTGTATTAGTCTGTTTTCACACAGCTGATAAAGACATACCCGAGACTGGGATGAAAAAGAGGTTTAATTGGACTTACAATTCCACATGGCTGGGGAGACCTCAGAATCATGGCAGGAGGCAAAAGGCACTTCTTACATCGTGGCAGCAAGAGAAGATGAGGAAGAAGCAAAAGCGGAACCCCCTGATAAACCCATCAGATCTTGTGAGACTTGTTCACTATCACGAGAATAGCGTTGGGAATGACCAGTCCCCATGAGTCAATTACCTCCCCGCTGGGTCCCTCCCACAACACATGGGAGTTCTGGGAGATACAATCCAAGTTGAGATTTGGGTGGGGACGCAGCCAAACCATATCATTCTGCCCCTGCCTGGCCCCTCCAAATCTCATGTCTTCACATTTCAAAACTAATTATGCCTTCCCAACAGTCCCCCAAAGTCTCTGTCTATGAGCCTGTAAATTCAAAAGCAAGCTAGTTACTTCCTAGATACAATGGGAATACAGGTATTGGGTAAATACAGCCATTCCAAATGGGAGAAAGTGGCCAAAACAAAGGGGTTACAAGGCCCATGCAAGTTCAAAATCCAGCAGGACAGTCAAATTTTACATATATAACTTTTTATTATAATTTAAGGTATAGTCGATAATATAATGTTTTTATTTTTTATTTTTTTTTATTGATCATTCTTGGGTGTTTCTCGCAGAGGGGGATTTGGCAGGGTCATTGGACAATAGTGGAGGGAAGGTCAGCAGATAAACAAGTGAACAAAGGTCTCTGGTTTTCCTAGGCAGAGGACCCTGCGGCCTTCCGCAGTGTTTGTGTCCCGGGGTACTTGAGATTAGGGAGTGGTGATGACTTTTAACGAGCATGCTGCCTTCAAGCATCTGTTTAACAAAGCACATCTTGCACCGCCCTTAATCCATTTAACCCTGAGTGGACACAGCACATGTTTCAGAGAGCACAGGGTTGGGGGTAAGGTCACAGATCAACAGGATCCCAAGGCAGAATAATTTTTCTTAGTACAGAACAAAATGAGAAGTCTCCCATGTCTACCTCTTTCTACACAGACACGGCAACCATCCAACCTCTCAATCTTTTCCCCACCTTTCCCCCCTTTCTATTCCACAAAACCGCCATTGTCATCATGGCCCGTTCTCAATGAGCTGCTGGGCACACCTCCCAGACGGGGTGGCGGCCGGGCAGAGGGGCTCCTCACTTCCCAGTAAGGGCAGCCGGGCAGAGGCGCCCCTCACCTCCCGGACGGGGCGGCTGGCCGGGTGGGGGGCTGACCCCCCACCTCCCTCCCGGACGGGGCGGCTGGCCGAGCAGAGGGGCTCCTCACTTCCCAGTAGGGGCGGCCGGGCAGAGGCGCCCCTCACCTCCCGGACGGGGCGGCTGGCCAGGCGGGGGGCTGACCCCCCCACCTCCCTCCCGGACGGGGCGGCTGGCCGGGCGGGGGGCTGACCCCCCCACCTCCCTCCCGGACGGGGCGGCTGGCCGAGCAGAGGGGCTCCTCACTTCCCAGTAGGGGCGGCCGGGCAGAGGCGGCCCTCACCTCCCGGACAGGGCGGCTGGCCGGGCGGGGGGCTGACCCCCCCACCTCCCTCCCGGACGGGGCGGCTGGCCGAGCAGAGGGGCTCCTCACTTCCCAGTAGGGGCGGCCGGGCAGAGGCGGCCCTCACCTCCCGGACGGGGCGGCTGGCCGGGCGGGGGGCTGACCCCCCCACCTCCCTCCCGGACGGGGCGGCTGGCCGAGCAGAGGGGCTCCTCACTTCCCAGTAGGGACGGGCAGAGGCGGCCCTCACCTCCCGGACGGGGCGGCTGGCCGGGCGGGGGGCTGACCCCCCCACCTCCCTCCCGGACGGGGCGGCTGGCCGAGCAGAGGGGCTCCTCACTTCCCAGTAGGGGCGGCCGGGCAGAGGCGGCCCTCACCTCCCGGACGGGGCGGCTGGCCGGGCGGGGGGCTGACCCCCCCACCTCCCTCCCGGACGGGGCGGCTGGCCGAGCAGAGGGGCTCCTCACTTCCCAGTAGGGGCGGCCGGGCAGAGGCGCCCCTCACCTCCCGGACGGGGCGGCTGGCCAGGCGGGGGGCTGACCCCCCCACCTCCCTCCCGGACGGGGCGGCTGGCCGGGCGGGGGGCTGACCCCCCCACCTCCCTCCCGGACGGGGCGGCTGGCCGGGCGGGGGGCTGACCCCCCCACCTCCCTCCCGGATGGGGCGGCTGGCCGGGCGGGGGGCTGACCCCCCAACCTCCCTCCCGGACGGGGCGGCTGGCCGGGCAGAGGAGCTCCTCACTTCCCAGTAGGGGCGGCCGGGCAGAGGCGGCCCTCACCTCCCGGACAGGGCGGCTGGCCGGGCGGGGTCTGACACCCCCACCTCCCTCCCAGACGGGGCAGCTGGCCTGGTGGGGGTTGACTCCCACCTCCCTCCCGGACGGGGTGGCTGCCGGGCGGAGAAGCTCCTCACTTCCCAGACGGGGTGGCTGCCAGGCGGAGGGGCTCCTCACTTCTCTGACGTGGCGGCTGCCGGGTGGAGGGGCTCCTCACTTCTCAGAGGGGGCGGTTGCCAGGCGGAGGGTCTCCTCACTTCTCAGACGGGGCGACCGGTCAGAGATGCTCCTCACCTCCCAGACGAGGCGCTCCTCACATCCCAGACGGGGTGGCAGGGCAGAGGCGCTCCCCACATCTCAGACGATGGGCGGACGGGCAGAGACGCTCCTCACTTCCTAGATGGGATGGCGGTCGGGAAGAGGCGCTCCTCACTTCCTATATGGGATGGCGGCCGGGCAGAGACGCTCCTCATTTTCCAGACTGGGTAGCCAGGCAGAGGGGCTCCTCACATCCCAGACGATGGGCGGCCAGGCAGAGATGCTCCTTACTTCCCAGACGGGGTGGCGGCCGGGCAGAGGCTGCAATCTCGGCACTTTGGGGGGCCAAGGCAGGCGGCTGGGAGGTGGAGGTTGTAGCGAGCCGAGATCACGCCACTGCACTCCAGCCTGGGCACCATTGAGCGCTGAGTGAACCAGACTCCGTCTGCAATCCCGGCACCTCGGGAGGCCGAGGCTGGCGGATCACTCGCGGTTAGGAGCTGGAGACCAGCCCGGCCAACACAGCGAAACCCCGTCTCCACCAAAAAAATACGAAAACCAGTCAGGCGTGGCAGCGCGCGCCTGCAATCGCAGGCACTCTGCAGGCTGAGGCAGGAGAATCAGGCAGGGAGGTTGCAGTGAGCCGAGATGGCAGCAGTACAGTCCAGCTTCGGCTCGGCATCAGAGGGAGACCGTGGAAAGAGAGGGAGAGGGAGACCGTGGGGAGAGGGAGAGGGAGAGGGAGAGGGAGAGCAGGACAGTCAAATTTTAAAGCTCCAAAATGATCTCCTTAGACATCAAGGTCATGCTGATGTAAAACGTAGGTTCCCACGGTCTTGGGCAGCTCTGCCCTTGTGGCTTTGCAGGGTACAGCCTCCCTCCTGGCTGTTTTCATAGTCTGGCACTGAGTGTCTACAGCTTTTCCAGGTGCATGGTGCAAGTGGTAGATGGATCTACTATTCTGGGGTCTGGAGGTCAGTGGCCATCTTCTCACAGCTCCACTAGGCAGTGCCCCAGTAGGGACTCTGTGTGGGGGCTCCAATCCCACATTTTCCTTCTGCACTGCCCTAACAGAGGTTCTTCATGAAGGCCCTGCCCCTGCAACAAACTTCTGCCTGGGCATCTATGCATTTCCATACATCTTCTGAAATCTAGGCAGAGGTTCCCAAACCTCAATTCTTGACTTCTGTGCACCCACAGGATCAATACCATGTGGAAGCTGCCAAGGCTTGGGCTTGCACCCTCTGAAGCCACAGCCCGACTATACATTGGCCCCTTTCAGCCATGGCTGGAGCAGCTGGGACACAGGGCACCAAGTCCCTAGATTGCACACAGCACAGGGACCCTGGGCATGGCCTACAAAACCACAGTTTCCTCCTGGGCCTCTGGTCCCGTGATGGGAGGGGCCTCCATGAAGGTCTCTGACATAGCCTGGAGACATTTTCCCCATGGTCTTGGGGATTAACATTAGGCTCCTTGCTACTTATGCTAATTTCTGCAGCCAGCTTGAATTTCTCCCCAGAAAATGGGGTTTTCTTTTCTGTTGCATAGTCAGGCTGCAAATTTTCCTGTCTTCTTCTGAGCCCTTCAAACTGTTCCAATCTCTGCCTGTTACCCAGTTCCAAAGTCACTTCCACATTTTCGGGTATCTTTTCAGCAATGCCCCACTCTATTGGTGCCAATTTACTGTATTAGTCCATTTTCAGGCAGCTGATAAAGACATACCTGAGACTGGGAAGAAAAAGAGGTTTCATTGGACTTACAGTTCCACATGGCTGAGGAGGACTCAGAATCATGGCAGGAGGCGAAAGGCACTTCTTACATGGCAGCAAGAAAAAATGAGGAAGAAGCAAAAGCGGAACCCCCTGATAAACCCATCAGATCTCGTGAGATTTATTCACTATTACGAGACTAGCACAGGAAGGACTGGCCCCCATGATTAAATTACCTCCCCCTGGGTTCCTTCCACAACATGTGGGAATTCTGGGCGATACAAATCGAGTTGAGATTTGGGTGGGGGATGCAGCCAAACCATATCACTGAGGAAATACACACAGCATCATCCAGAACTGGCCCATCCTCCCTGGGATGCAGTGGGTTATTCACACTCAGGTTCTCAGGAGGAAGGAGCTGTGGACTTGGACTTGGAAAGCCCCTGGCATAGGCAATCCAAATAGAAATCCAAGAGGACTTCGGTGTGGTCCTCTTAGAGGGCATGGAGGCAGGGTTGTGCTGCAGGGAGAGCCCAGCCCCAGGCATATGGGAGGGCAGGGAGGGCATGGGGGTGCTGGACTGTGAGAGCCGATGCCTCCCTGGAATTGTACAGGCTGCACTGGTCTGGAAGGAGGCCCCAGCACAGCCTGCGTGAGGAAGCTGGCGTGCACGGAGGCCTTGGGGAATGATTCTGCAGCTGTGCAGCAAATATTGGCTAACGGTTTAGCTGGGCCCAGGGAAAGGAATACATTACAGGGAATTGCAGGCCAGGCACATTTAATCTACGCTAATTTACTGTATTGGAGAGAAGGAGAGGGAGGGAGAGAGATGGAGACAGAGCAAGCAAGTGCAACTGGACTAGTGGACACCATCTGCCTCCATCTCTCTTCGTGCCTGAATTGGGAACGGGAGGGTTTAGTTTCTTGGGGCCTCATGGGCCGTGTGCCTCTAGCCTGCCGAGTGTGAGTCCAGTGTCTGCCCACATGTGTTCCCACCCCTGAATGTAAGCTGGCTGCCTCACCTGGGCTCAGCCAAAGGGACAACAGCCATCCCTCTGATGACAAGTGGCACCGCAGCCCAGGCAGCCAGGGCAGTCGGTGCGCTGAGTCACTTGCTTTGAGCCCGGAAGCTGCTGCTGGTTCTCGTGCTGCTTCCTTGGGGCGTTGGTTTGAGTGTGACTCTTGCCCACCCTGCTGACTTTGAACCGGCCCCTGGTCAGGGCTGACCCTACTGGGGGGCTCGGTCCAGCTGTGCTGCCTGGCTTCAGATGTGGCCTCCCTGTCCCAGGGCACCCCCCCGGGGCACTCCACGGTGGGGCAGCGAGGGCGCAGGCGTGGATGCTGCAAGCTCATCCTCCACTCGGCCCTCCCTCATGTTCCAGCCGTGCTCCCTCCCCAGGCTGCCCGCACACACTCCACCCTGGAGGATGAGCTCACAGAGTCCCTTTTTTATTGTGGTGCAATGCACATAACATAAAATTGACCACCGTAACCATCTTTGAGTGTACAGTCAGGGGTATTAGTACATTCACATTATCATACAACCGTCACTACCATCCATCTCCAGAACTTTTCATTTTCCCAAACATGAAACACTGACTCCCCATTCCTCCTCCCCCAGCCCCTGGCAACCCCCATTCCACTTTCTGTCTCCATGAGTTTGACCGCTCCAGGGACCTCATCTAAGGACAATCACACAGTATTTATTCTTTTGTGACTGGCTTATTTCACTTAGAGTAATGCCCTCAAGGTTCATCCATGTTGAATTTCCTTCCTTTTTAAGGCTGACTATAAGGATGGGTGCACCACATTCTGTTTATTCCTCCATCGATGGTCACTTGGGTTGCTTCCACACTGTAGCTGTTGTGAGTAATGCTGCTATTCATGTGGATGTACAAAGATCTTTTTGAGACCCAACTTTTATTTCTTTCCTGTATATACCCAGAAGTGGGGTTGCTGGACCATACGTTAATTCTGTGCTTAATTTTTGGAGGAACCACCATACTGTTTTCATAGCAGCTGCACTGTTTTTCATTTCCACCAATAGTACATAGGGTTCCAATTTCTTCACATCCTCGCCAACAATTGTTAGCATCTGTTTTTTGATAGGAGCCATCCAAATAGGTGTGAGGTGCCAGCACAGACTTTTGCACGTGGTAAAATGAGTGGATAGAGACAACGTCTGAAGCATTGAAGCAAGACGACTCTTCGCAGCGGCTGCAGTTGGCTGGAGTGTCATTGTGGATTGGAAAATAATGTATTTCTTTCTCTTTTTAGAATTTTACTTTAAGTTCCAGGATACATATACAGAAGGTGCAGGTTTGTTACATAGGTAAACGTGTGCCATGGTGGTTTGCTGCACCTATCTGTCACCTAGGTATTAAGCCCTGCAAGCATTAGCTATTTGTCCTGACACTCTCAGTCCCCCATCCCCCAATATGCAGATTCTTTTAAAGTACTCCATAATAATTTCCCCACATTATTTTCCCATTTGTCCTAACTAGCAGGATTTTAATGTAACAAAGCTATCCGACAAGCCACAGGGTTTATGTCTACAAGTGAACTCTCTCAGCAACACAGATGCATAGCACTGTGATTTTTGTGTTTTTTAGAACACACCCTATTGTATTGGAATCCTGGAAATGAAAATGCTATTCCCCTGTGGACAAAGCTTTCCAAAGGGGAAACATCACTTGGGGAAAAATGTGGTGCTTCTGTCCAGGATAATGGATATCACAGCCGTGCCTGTGACCTCGTGGGTCTGCACTTTGCACATGAAATCTTAAATTAGGCTGGGCGCAATGGCCCACACCCGTAATCCCAGCACTTTGAGAGTCTGAGGAGGGAGGATCACTTGAGGCCAGGAGTTCAAGACTAATCTAGCTGGGCCTGGTGGTGTGCACCTGTGGTCCCAGCTACTTGAGAGGCTGAGGTGAGAGGATCCCTTGAGCCCAGGAGTTCAAGGCTGCAGTGAGCTCTGATCACACTACTGCACTCCAGCCTGGGTGACAGAGTGAGACCTGTCTCTAAAAAAGAAGAAAGAAATCTTAAATCAGTCTTTCCCTATGTCTCCTCCCCAGGACTCCTGCCCAGCTTGGAAATAGCACACAAAGGCACAGGGGAACTGGTGGGTACACAGGGAAGGTCGGGAGCCTGGAGTCTGAGCTCTGGTCACCATCCTTCCTGGCCATGTGGCCTTGGGGGAGCCAATTTCTGTTTCTTTGAGGACCTCCCATTCCCCCTGCTGCAGATGGAAGAGTGAGACTTGCCTCACGCATTTGTTGTGCAGAGTAAACAGCATAACTCACAGGCAGTCCCCCCAAAGGTGAGTTGAATGCAGCTGCTTGTCATTGAAGCGGTGCAGTGAGGCAGGACTCGGGGAACCAGGAACGGGGTCCTGGCTTGATGGGGTCCCCAAGATGGGGACTGATACTTTTGTTTCCGGGCTCATGTTACAGCTTTCCACTGTTAACTCACCCTCCTACGCCTGTGATCTCATTGGATCGTCCCAAGAAATTATCATTTCTAACTTAGAAATGAGGACACACTTAGAAATGAGGCACGATGGCTCAGGCCTATAATCCCAGCATTGCTTGAGGCCAAGAGTTCCAGACTGGCCTAGGCAACATAGTGAGACCCTTTGTCTACCAAAAATTTTAAAAATTAGCCAGGCGTGGTGGCATGCACTTCCTATCTATTTTGGAGGCTGAGGTGGAATACATAAGGTGTCCACACTGGGCCGGCTTGCTCGCCCTCCCTGCTGTGCCATCTTCCAGAAAGCAGCCCAGCCTGGAGAGCAGGGGCTAGCAGCCGTTCTTCCCCACTCTCTTGGCCTTTCAGCTGCCTGTTTGTCAGGAGTCAGGTGCACTTCCCTGCCAGGCGTTCACCCTGACCTGGGGCACTCAGTTCACACTCTCAACCTCGTTATCTGGAAAGGAATCTAGCCCCGGATTTTTATGAAAGTCACTTTTTCAGGTTGTTGTTGGTTACAGACGCGATGTTGTTTCTGATCTAGAAAGTCTAAGGAAGCAGAAAGAGAAAGAGTTTGGAGAGGCCCCCCAAGGCGAAGTCAGTGAGGGGACACGGTGAATTTCCTTACAGTCTTCCCTGGTCATGGTTTGCTCACAGTTGAAACAACTCTGTAACTGCTTATAAATGATAAGGGGGGGGAGTGTGCATTGTGTTTTGATGTGTGTGGTGTGGATGTGCTGTGTGTAGTGTGTTTTTGATATAAGTGATGAGTGTGGTGTGTACGTGTGTGGTATATGTGAGTGTGCTGTGTGTATATTGTGTGGTATGGTGTGTATGTGTGTACTGTGTGGAGGGTGTGGTGGGTGAATGTGTATGATGTGCATGTGCATATGTGTAGAGTGTATGTGTGTGGTGTGGTGTATGTGTGTGATATGTTTGTGTGTGGTATAGGTGTGGTGTGTGTACGTGTATTTGCGGTACGGTGTGTATATGTGTGGTGAGTGTGGTGTGTGTGAATGCATGTTGTATGGATGTGGTATGTGTGGTAGGTGTGTAGTGTGAGCAGTATGGGTGTTGTATGTGTGTGGTATATGTGTACGTTGTGATGTGTGATGTGGGTGTGATGTGTTTGGTAGGTGTGTGATGTGTGTAGTGTGGGTGTGGGTGTGGTGTGGAGGTGTGGTGTGTATTGTGTATGTGCATGTGTGTGGTGTGTGCATGCAGGTGTGTGTGTGACGTGTGTGGTGTGGGTGTGTGTGGATGTGGAGTGGCTGGGGTGTGTGGTGTGTGGGTGTGTGGTATGGTGTGTGATATAGGTGTATGTGTGTGGTGTTTGCTGTGTTTGTGTGTGGTATGTTGTGGGTGTGTTGTGTAGCGTGTGGTCTGAATGTGGTGTGTGGTGTGGTGTATATGTATGTGTGTGGTATGTGGTATGTGTGTGTGTGGTGTGTGTGTGGATGTGGTATGGGTGGTGTGTGTGGTGTGTGGTATGTGTGTGGTGTGTGGTTGTGATGTGAGTGTGGGTGTTGGTGTGAGTGTGGTGTGTATTGTATGTGTATGCATATGGTGTGTGGTTTGGCATCTGTGTGTGGTGTGCAGTTTATGTGTGTGGTGTTTGTATATATGTATGTATGTGGTATGGGTGTGTGCTGTGGGTGTGTGATGTGTGATGTGTTTGGGTGTGTATGTGTGTGTTGTGTGTGTGGCATATGTGCATAGTGTGTGGTGTGGGTGAGGGTATGGATAGTATGTGCGTTTTATGTGTATGTGTGTGGTGTGTGTGGTGGGTGTGTGGTGTGTGTGGGTGTGTCGTGTATGTGTGTAGTGTATGTAGTGTGTGGTGAATGTATATGTGATGTATGTATGCGCTGTATGTGTATGTGGTGTGTGTGTATGTGTGGCATAGGTGCATGGCGTGTAATGTATGTGTGTGTTTGGTGTGTGTGTGTGTGGTGTGTGTGGTATGTCTGTATGTCTGTGTGGTGTGTGTGTATGTGTGTTTGGTGCATGTGTGATGTGTGTGTGGTATGTGTGGTGTGTGTATATGTTTGTATGGTGTGTGTGTGTGTGTGGTGTGTGTATGGTGTGTGTGTGTTTGGTGTGTGTGTATCTGTGTTTGTGTGGTGTGCGTGTGGCATATGTGTGTGGTGTGTGGGTTTTCCCAGAATCACGTGGGGGCTGCTTCTCCACCCCATCCCAGCTGCTTGCAGAGGTCCTGGTGGCTTTGCCTGGAGTAGAGGGAAGGGTACCCTGGTGTCCCTGGGCAGCTTCGGTTGACTCAGATGGGGGCAGGGTGTCCTCGTGGGCGAGCAGTTTCCTAAGGGCCGCAGGGGTCACCCCAGGCCATGGGGCAGGAAACCTATATGGGGCCAGCTGCTGCACAGGACCTGAAAAGTACACTGAAGGAGGGTCGCAGGACTGGCCTTGGCCGGTGGGAAGGAATGGAGGGGTGGCCACAGCACAGCAAGTGGGGAGTGGCAGGCGGAGTCACTGGTGATGCTCAGAGCTGGGCTGCGGGGAAGATGTATTCTTTCCTTTGTGTCGCCCAGTGGCACAATCACGGCTCACTGCAACCTCCGCCTCCTGGGTTCAAGAGATCTTTTCACCTCGGCCTCCTGAGTAGCTGGGACCACAGCAGCGTGCCACCATGCCCAGCTATCATTTGTATTTTTTGTAGAGACAGGGTTTTGCTACGTTGCCCAGGCTGGACTGGAACTCGTGGACTTAACCAGTCCTTCCACCTCAGCCTCCCAAAGTGCTGGGATTACACGCGTGAGCCACTGTGCCTGGCCTGTGGGGAAGATTTTAGGCGACGTTCATGCAGTCCTGTGCAAGCTGCCCAGGTTGGAAAGGGGCTGCTGCTCTGCAGAGATGTCCATGGACGGCCCCTGTCCTGGGAAGTTGAGGCTTTAGTGAACTGTGATCCTGCCACTGCACTCCAGCCTGGATGACAGAGCAAGACCCTGTCTCAGAATAATAAGAATAATAATAATTTCAACTTTTGCTTTAGATTCAGGCCGCACATGTGCAGGTTTGTTACATGGGTATATTGTGTGATGCTGAGCTTTGGGATATGAATGACCTCATTACCCAGGTACTGAGCACAGTACCCAAGAGTTAGTTTTTCAACTCTTGCTCCCCTCTCTCCCTCCTCCCTCTAGTAGTCCTCAGCGTCTATTGTTGCCATCTTTATATCCATGAGTACTCAATATTTAGCTCCCATTTGTAAGTGAGAACGTGTGGTATTTGGTTTTGTGTTCCTGTTTTAATTCGCTTAGGAGAATGGTCTCCAGCTGCAGCCATGTTGCTGCAAAGGACATGATTTTGTTCTTTTCTATGACTGCGTGGTATTCCATGGTGTATAGGTACCGTATTTTCTTTATCCAATCCACCATTAATGGACACCTAGGTTGATTCCATGTCTTTACTATTGTGATAGTGCTGTGATGAACATGTGAGTGCACATGTCTTTTTGGCAGAATGATTTGTTTTTTTTTTTTTTTTTTTGAGACAGCATCTCGCTCTGTCAGAGATCTGATCACAGCTCACTGAAGTCTTGACTTTCTGGGCCCAATTAATCTTCCCAATTCAGCCTCCCAAGTAGCTGGGATCACAAGCAGGCACCACCATGCCTGGCTAATTTTTAAATTTTTTTTTGCAGAGACAGGGTCTCCCTGGTTGTCCAGGATGGTCTCAAACTGAGCTGAAGCGATCCTTCCATCTTGGCCTCCCAAAGTGCTGGGATTACAGGCATGAGCCATTGTGCCTGGCCTGGTAGAATTATTTTATTTTGGATAGATACCCAGTAATGGGATTTCTGGGTCGAATGGTAGTTTTAAGTTCTTTGAGAACTCTCCAAACTGCTTTCCACAGTGTATGAATTAATTTACATTCCCACCAGCAGTGTATAAGCATTCCCTTTCTCCTCAGCCTCGCCAGCATCTATTGTTTCTTGACTTTTTAATAATAGCCATTCTGACTGATGAGAGATGGTGTCTCATTGTGGTTTTGATTTGCATTTCTCTGATGATTAGTGATGTTGAGCATTTTTCATGTTTGTTGGCTGCATGTATGTCTTATTTTGAGCAATGTCTGTTCATATCTTTGCCCACTTTTTAATAGGGTTGTTTTTTGTTGCTGAAATAAATCACAGATGATACAAACAAATGGAAAAACATTCCGTGTTCATGGACTGGAAGAATCAATATAATTAAAATGGCCATACTGCCTAAAGCAATCTACAGATTCAACACTATTCGTATCAAAGTACCAATGTCATTTTTCACAGAACTAGAAAAAAATTCTAAAATTCACATTGACAAAAACTTCAGCCAAGTTAAATTTAAAAGAGCTTAATTGAGCAATGAACGATTCGTGAATTGGGCAGCCTCCTGAGCCAGTAGACTCTGAGATTCCGGCACAGCCAAGTGGTGGAGGATTTATGGACAGAAAAAGGAAAGTGATGTACAGAAAACAGAAGTGAGGTACAGAAACAGCTGGATTGGTTACAGGTTGGCATTTGCCTTATTGAATACAGTTTGAACAGATGGCTACATTTGATTGTCCAAAACTCAGTGATTGGCACAAGTGTAGGCTATGGTCCGTTTATACCTCCACTTGTTATAGTTCACAATGTACAGAGAAACCTTTAGGCTGAACTTAAAATATGTAAGGAGGCAGCTTTAGGCTAAACTTGATTTAACAAGTAACCAAAAAAGAAAAAAAGAGCCCCAATAGGCCGGGCACGGTGGCTCACGCCTATAATCCCAGCACTTTGGGAGGCCGAGGCGGGTGGATCATGAGGTCAGGAGATCGAGACCATCCTGGCTAACACGGTGAAACCCCGTCTCTACTAACAATACGAAAAAATTAGCCAGGCGTGGTGGCGGGCGCCTGTAGTCCCAGCTACTTGGGAGGCTGAGGCAGGAGAATGGCGTGAACCCGGGAGGCGGAGCTTGCAGTGAGCCGAGATCGCGCCACTGCACTCCAGCCTGGGCGATAAAGCAAGACTCTGTCTCAAAAAAATAATAATAAAAATAAAAAAATAAAAAATAAAAAGAGCCCCAATAGCCAAAGCACTTCTAGGCAAAAAGATCAAAGCCAGAGGCATCACATGACCTGACTTCAAACTATGCTATAAGGCCACGGTAACCAAAACAGCAAAACTGAAGTCTCTGGTTACAAAATCCTTACTGTCAAGTTCCATTCCATTTCCATGGAAAATGAGCAATATACTAATTCTGGCTACTTCCGACTGAAAAGGGGAGTAGTTAGGGAGCTGTGGAATGGAACTGATCTACTTGGAGTTGAAAGTATTTGCAAGTCCCTGAACTTACAGACAAAATCTTTTGAAGCATCATGGTGCAAAGGGCCAGAAGCCCCTGGGAGAACTGGTCCTGCATTCCCATGCATGGCACACAACAGCAATAGAGTCCACAGCAGAAGAATAAGCCTGTTCCTATAATCATGGCCAAAATCATGAGCAATTTTTCCACCAGAAGGGGCCTGATACAAACCATGATAAAAGCCATTGATTTAGATATTGTGGGATCAGACATAGCACTAGTTTACTTGTGTATGTCTCGCAGGGCTGAGAATATGTTTCTGGAGTTATCCAGGAAGTACACACAACATTCAGTCTCTTTAAAATTTATTATTATCATTTTGAGACCGGGTCTCACTCTTTCATCCAGGCTGAAGAGCAGTGGCATGAAAGTGGCTCACTGCAGCATCGACCTCCTGGGCTCAAGTGATCCTCCTGCTCCAGCCTCCGTGTAGCTGGGACTACAGGTGTGTGCAACCACCCAGGGCAAATTTGATTTTTTTGTAGAGATGGGCTCTCACTTTTTTGTTCAGGCTGGTCAATCAAATTTATAGTCCATGTTTCCCACTGTCAATTGTACCCAGAGCTCCAGTGGGGATCTGAGGACAGGTTGGCTAATTATACATATTTAACAGGCTTTGGGAGGAGCTATGAATGCTCGTGAAGGTGGTCCTGACATGTGTATTGAACAAATACGCATGTGACATATGACCCATGTTCAGTTTGGAGTGGGGACCATTTAAATGTGTTACAATTAGGCCCTATATGTCAAAAAGTTTTTTCGGGACACAAAGGCATCCAAGTGTGTGATTTTTGTAGACCGGCCAGAACTAATGCAAGCTCGGTGGTCTTTTTATCAGGGGAAAGTTACTGAAATCAGTCTCTTGTTTAATTAAAGCCGTAGCTGTGGCTGGTAGAATGGGGCCGGTTGTCAGTCAGTCAACATTAGAGGAGTGTAAATGGTTTTAATGTTGCTTATCTCGAGGCCAGTGGTTGTTTGGCTGCTGGGACCTCAGTTTTAAAAATCACCTACTTTGTTTTTCTTTCACCTCTCCACTCTCACCCCTTCATTCCTTCCCTCTGTAGACACTCCTCTCCGGCAATGCATGTTTATCTAATTATGCTCTTGTTTAAGAAACCCCAGAGGCGAATCTTGAAACAAACCAGGCATGGAGCCTCTGTGGAATACTCCCGCTTAGGGGGAGTCATGAACAATTAGTCCACCACCATTGGGCCAAAGTCACAATAACACCAATCAGACCTCCAGACCAGCAATGACCTGAGACAGCCATGGGGACAAAGACACAGACTCTGTGCCCTGCACCATTCCCATATCTCCCATGCCAAGTTTCGCTTTAAAACCCCTATGGTCAATTTGAAAAGGTAAGATGCTCCTTTAGAACGCTCGTTTGACATCTCCATTTGCCGGCTCTCCAATTAAACCTGCTTTTCTTCCCACCAGCCCTCACCTTTCATGTTTGGCTCATGTAGCTGAACCTGGGTCCACTTACAGAGGTTAACGATCATGCCTGCATTTTGCCCAGTGCTTCCTCAATTCTGGAGCACCTCTCTTGTTTGCCGATGGTAGCCTGAGCTGGGCAGGGCATCCAAACAGAAGTTAATGGATTTAGGCTGGGCACGGTGGCTCACACCTGTAATCCCAGCACATTGGGAGGCCGAGGTGGGTTGATCACTTGACGTCAGAAGTTTGAGACCAGCCTGGCCAACACAGTGAAATGCTGTCTCTACTAAAAATACAAAAATTAGCTGGCGTGGTGGTGCATGCCTGTAATCCCAGCTACTTGGGAGGCTGAGGCACAAGAATCGCTTGAACCTGTGAGGTGGATGTTGCAGTGAGCTGAGATCACGCCACTGCACTCCAGCCTCGGCAACAGAGTGAGACTCCATCTAAAAAAAAAAAAAAAAAAAAGTTAATGGATTTACCCTAAGTCACAAGCCTAGGATGTAGCTGAGCTAGGTCACCTGTTCCCCAGCCCATGCCTGCTGCCCGGCTAAAGGAGGGGAAGGTGAGAAGGATGGCACAGTGGAAAAGATAAGCTCTTGGGAGCAGCCACGTCTTGCTGTCAGAGGGTAAATGGCTATAAACCAAAAAGTATTTGACACAAGTCTCCATCACCTTAGGTTTCTTTTGCTAAGGTCAAGGGCCATGGCCTGACAAAGCCTAAGGAGGTCCTGAGAACATGTGCCCAAGGTGGCTGGGTCACAGCTTGGTTTTTGTTTGTTTGTTTCTTTTTGTTTTTGTTTTTTGAGATGGAGTCTCACTCTGTCGCCCAGGCTGGAGTGCAGTGGCACAATCTCGGCTCACTGCAAGTTCCACCTGCTGGGTTCACGCCATTCTCCTGCCTCAGCCTCCCAAGTAGCTGGGACTACAGGCGGAGTCTCGCTCTGTTGCCCAGGCTGGAGTGCAGTGGTGCGATCTTAGCTCACTGCAAGCTCCGCCTCCAGGGTTCATGCCATTCTCCTGCCTCAGCCTCCCAAGTAGCTGGGACTACAGGCGGAGTCTCGCTCTGTTGCCCAGGCTGGAGTGCAGTGGTGCGATCTTAGCTCACTGCAAGCTCCGCCTCCAGGGTTCATGCCATTCTCCTGCCTCAGCCTCCTGAGTAGCTGGGACTACAGGCGCCTGCCACCACGCCTGGCTAATTTTTTGTATTTTTAGTAGAGACGGGGTTTCACCGTGTTAGCCAGGATGGTCTCAATCTCCTGAACTGATGATCCACCTGCCTCGGCCTCCCAAAGTGCAGGGATTACAGGCATGAGCCACCACTCCCAGCCTAATGTATATGTTTATCATTCAACATTTGTTGAGTAGTAAAAATATGAATCAAATAATGATAATCCTAATGATAACATTATTATTATTATTTTTATTTTTGAGATGGAGTCTCACTGTGTCGCCCAGGCTGGACTGCAGTGGTGTGATTTCAGCTCACTGCAAGCTCCACCTCCTGGGTTCATGCCATTCTCCTGCCTCAGCCTCCTGAGTAGCTGGGACTACAGGTGCCCACCACCATGCTCAGCTAATTTTTTATATTTTTAGTAGAGATGGGGTTTCACCATGTTAGCCAGGATAGTGTCAATCTCCTGACCTCATGATCCACCCACCTCGGCCTCCCAAAGTGCTGGGACTACAGGTGTCAGCCACAGTGCCCAGCCAAGCCCAGGTTCTTTTCATGTAGATGAAGCCTTCAGGTAGCAAACTTCAGAGAGAATAGATGGCAAATGTCTCTTGTCTGACCTTAAAAAGTGTCAGCCTCTCCAGAAAAGACCTAGTAAGAGAAGGAGATTCTCTACAGAATGCAAATTTTCCCACACAAGAGAAAGCTTTGCAGGCCCATTTCAAAATATGTCAACAAAATATATTTTGGGGTAAAATACTTTGATTTCCTTAAGGGCCTACTGTTTCATGATGCTGTCATGAAAAAAAACTAGTTCCAACCATCATGGGCATAAGGAGACCCACAATGGGTAGCTCCTCTCTGTAGGCAGGTGGTCCTGTGGAGTGTTCAGCTCTCAGCAGAGAGGAGGCCCTGGGAGGGTGGCTCCTCTCTGCAGGCAGTTCATCTCATTGTCTCTGCAGCTCTCAGTAGATTGGAGCCCCTGGAGAGGGTAGCTCCACTCTCTACTGGTCGTCCTGACATCTGCCGAACTCCTAGCAGAGAGGAAGCCCTGGAGTGGGTTGCTCCTCTCTGAAGCTGGTAGTCCCAACATCTCTGCAGGCCTGTGAAGCTCTCAGCAGAAAGGGTAGCTCTTCTCTGCAGCTGGTCATCCCATAGTCTGCTTAGCTCTGGCTGAACCTGGGGTTTTTATGGGCCTCAGAGGGGAAAAAGTGTATGCTGATTGGTACTTGGGTGGGCCTGGAAAAGGCACCACAAGTTCCCAGTCCAGTCCATGAGACTGGCAGCCTTGGTTCCCAGCCTTCAGACCCTCCCTGGCCTGAAGGTGGGGCCTCACTGGGGACCGGCCCCCTTCCATCCAGGAATCTGTCTGCCTCCTGCTGCCTTCATGACACCTGAGCTTGGCCCCAACATTCCTCCAAGATTGGAGTGGGCAACAACAGCAGGGAGAAGCCAGGCAATGGGAGCAGGCACTGCTGAGCCTGCAAGGGGAAGGGATGCTTCCTGGCCCTCAAGAGTGCAGGGGTGCCTGAGTCTGCAGCCATGGTTTAGGCAGCTACAGCTGTGCCTGGGAGGGCAGGGATCCTGCTTGCTCCTGGCCTCCCAAGAGCACAGGGAGGCTCAGACCTGCAGCCACAAGTTGGGCAGCTACAGCCCTGCCCCGGAGGGCAGGGCTCCTGCCTGCTCTGTGGAGTGGGAGGCCCAGGTCTGCAACCCAATGGTTTGGGCAGCTGCAGTGGCACCTGGGGAGCTCCCACCCCAACTTGGAAGGGCTTCATGGAGTGTGCAACCCCAGCCACGTCTCCCTGCTGCAGCTGGGAGCTACAGTTGAACAGTTGGCTACATTTCATTGTCCAAAACACAGTGATCTGGAGCAGCCACTGCCATCAATGGTATATCAGAATCATGTTGAAATACGGTGTTCTATTGCTGTTACTGGAAGGAGGGCCTTGGGTGTAAGTTGTCTAGGTTCTTGGTGTTTTGAACAAAAAACTGGACAAAATGCACTAAGTAACAAAGGAATGAAACACAGGATCGAAGTACCAAAATCAGGGATTTATAAAAGAGAGAAGGTACGCCACAGGGTGGGACTGGGCCCGAGCAGCTCAAGGGCCCAGTTACAAAGTTTTCTGGGTTTCAAGCACTCCTTTTGAGGTTCCTATCAGTTACCCCTTATATAGTTGAAGGATTTGGTCTGTGGCTAAGTAAACACTGAGGTGAATGGCACCCTATGCAGATGAAGGGATGGTCCCTGCTTGGCCTGTGGCCACTCCAAGCCACTCTCCCTTTTTGTCTAAGCCATGGTGGAAGGGGGAGGGTTGTAGAAAGAGTAACCTTTGACCCTTTGCTACTAAGGCATGGGGAGCTGGGTTTTTCCTTTCGGTTTAGCTTCAGGAAGTTGGCATTAACTGGCCTTAGGGCCCCTGCCTCCAGACCCAGGTGTTTCCCTTTTGATCCAGCTTTGGGAAGTCAGCACAAATTGGCCTCAGATTCCCTGCTTCCCCCCAGACCTTGGTGTTTTTCCTTGATTCAGCATGAATTGGCCTTAAGTTCCTTGCCTCCAGACTGTACTATCCTGCCTCATTGCTACAGAGTCTGTTTTGTCAGTCTTGAGACCCCAGTTTTCTTGTTAATACTGGTCTATTGTGTCTAAACTCTAAAGGGAGGAGGGTAAAATGAGGCAAGTCTGACCCCTTATGCCCATGATGGTTGGAACTAGTTTTTTAGGGGTTTTTTGGAATTCCCCTTCTCCAAGGGGAGGGGTTCATTCAATGGAGGCACAGAGGGCTTAGAGTTTTACTTTTGGTTTACACAAGCTTAAAGAGAAAAAACTTGCCTTCAATACTAAAACTAAAAGATGGGACTGGAAATTTCAAAGATAAAGACCCCAAACAGAGAAAACAGCACTTCCACATCCACATTTGGGAACCATTAGCACAGAGGTCCCAGGTGACTGCTCTTTCCTGCCCAGGAAGCCAGGAGAGATGCAGGCCCCCGAAGCACACTGGCTGGCCTAAAACAAGGGCAAGGCCTTTCCTTGTTGAAGATGTCCCGGCCAAACTCAGACTCGTTCTTGTTCCCGCATGACGCAGGAGAATAGGGTCTGGAGGGAGGGAACCTAAGGCCGATTCATGCTGACTTCCTAGAACTGAATCAAAAGGAAAACCTCACCTCTTCACACCCAAGTAACAAAAGGATCAGAGGCTACTCCCTTTGCACTACATAGCAGATAAAAAATAAAAAAGTACCTCTGATTGGTCCCCTCCTGCAACCAATCACAATGGTTGTGGACCATTCCTTCATTTACGTAGGGTATAACAAAGTAACCAATGGGAAACCTCTGGAAGGTACTCAAACCCTAGAAGATTTTGCAACTGGTGCTCTTGAGCCACTTCCTCAAGCCTGCTGTCACTCTGTGGAGTGTACTTTGGTTTCAATAAATCTGTGCTTTTGTTGCTTCATTCCTTCACTGCTTTGTGTGTTTTGTTCAATTCTTTGTTGAAAACACCAAGAACCTGATGGCTTGTGGTCAAGACCCTCCACCAGTAACATGTACACACATATGCACATATACACATGACCACATACGTGGCAGGAAGGGGCACAGAACCTGGAGTCAAGTCACCTCTGGCTATTGCCAGCTATTTGCTGGGACAGGTCAGTTGTCCTCTCTGAGTCTCGGTCTCCTGGGCTGTAGCCAGGGAGAAATAATATCTACTGTACAGGACTATGGGGACAGCCAAAAGCCCTTTATAAACCTAAGAAAGAGAAGTCGTTAGGAACTATTCATGGGCACTCACAGCAAGGCAACCCCATCTTGTAGGATGGCATCTGTCCCCAGGGCAGGGAGCAGGAGACCTGTTTCCAGGGGTTTCCAGGGTAACTTGGAGCAAATCACTTACCTTTCTTGGACTCAGTCCCTGGAAGAAGAGGCCATCCCAGACCCCTTCCTCCCAGGAACTCATTCATTCTGTCAGCAAACATAGACTGGGGGCCTGCCAAAGGTGGCGGGTACAACCCATCACTGCCCATGGGCTATGCACCGCCTTGCTGTAGGAACAGGCCTATAACTGCATCACAACCCGAAATCTGGACAAAGGGCAGAGGAAGCTGAGACTCCTTCCCCTGGGGTGGGGGCTTGAGGGGCTCAGGAGGACTCTCCAGAAGAGGTGACATTTCAACAGGGCCTTGAAAGCCAAATAGGTATTTTTCAGAGGGAGAGTGGGGAGGGGCAAAGGCATTCCAGACGAGGGTAACATCCTATGGTGAGGCAGGCCTGCAGGTGGGAAGGAGGGGAGGATGGGCAGAGTTTGTGCTGTGGAGCACAGTAGCCCAGTCATGAGAGAGGTGCAGGACGGAGCACACAGGGTGGGCTGGGCAGGCTGGGCAGGGTGCTGATTGGCGGCTGCAGGGCTGCTCCCCAGGCATGGGTAATCGTCCCACGCATCTGGAGGCAGGCTCTGTATGCATCTGGTTCTTTCCATGGCCCTGAAAACAGTCTTTTTTTCCCTTGATGAAATCCTGCAGTCTGCTCCCATGTACCAGTACCTGGATAGGAAACTGTTCAAGGAAGCCTACCAGATTGCTTGCTTGGGTGTCACAGACACTGATTGGCGTGCACTGGCCATGGAAGCGCTAGGTTTAGATTTTGAAACAGCAAAGAAGGTAAGCATCTAGCCAGCAGGAGCTGGAGTTTGGTCCTTGTGGGGTCCCTTAAGAAGGCAGATGGGGACGCAGGTGGCACGGAGAGGCCATAGACTGCAGCAGTCTCTGGAGTTAGGCTGACCTGGGCTTGTATCTTAGCCACTTCCTCACTGTGGGCCTGGGTAGGTGACACCCTTTCTAAGATTGCTTCTCTATAGACGTAGGGTGATGACAGGCCCCATCCTCACAAAGCTGTGAGGATCAAATGGGAGGATGCCTGTAAAGCCTGACCCAGGAGCAGCATGTCAGATTCTGGCTGTCACTCTTATTAGCTGTTCTCTATGGGAAGCACCTGACTAGTAGCCTGGCACATCACAGGCACTCCGTAAATGGCGGCTTTTATTATCGGTGTAGTCACTGGCCATGATGCTGCACACAATGCTGCTTTTCTTAGCATCTGCCAACTAAGGTGGGAGAGATGGTCAAGGTCTCTGATTCTGACAGCAATGTGGGCACTTCCCACGTACCTTCATGGCGGGATTCATGGACTTGATTCGTTGTGTCCTTTCCTGGCCTAGTCTATGAAAGCTAGAGAGATGGCTGAAAACATCTGACCCCTCTCTGCACATAAGGAAAGGCCCAGGTATGTTCCTGAGCTGTGTTTCCATCTAGAACCTCAGATGGAGGAAGGAATGGCTTCCAACCTCCACTCCCCTACCCCTTCCCTCTTTATCTCCCCACAGTCAATTAAGGAGCTGCTCATTTTGTCCATATTCCTGGGCTGACATTGAAGGAGTGGCAAAGAGGGACGTGATGCCCGCCTTGGGTTAGATCAAGACTTGTAGGCATGAAGAGAGGAGACTGGACCAGACCAGGACTCAGAAGCCGGCTGAGAGCCAGCTGTGTCACGTAAGGGGCTCTGGGACCTCAGGCCAGCGGCTTCCCTCAGAGCCCCGGTCCTCCCAGTTCTGAAATGGGGGTAGTGAGAATGCCCACTGCAGTCACAAGGCTTAACTGAGATGTTGTAAAGGGGAATTTAAAGCAGGGATGGTTGTGCAGATGCTAGCCATTACTTGAACATTGTTACACAATGATCAAGATTATATTTTTAGATGTCCCCAGTGTAGGAAAGTGGAGATGGAGGAAGCTGTAAGATTCAGAGGAGGGAGGAGGCATCCCCATGGAGGGAGCTTCCCTCTCCTGCCCCACCCAGAAATGCCAGCAGGGAGGAAGATGACAAATCCCCAGAATAGGTGTTGTTTTGGGCACAGAATGAAATTAAGAACCTTCCCTCTAGATTGTCACCTCCTTACACCCAGGAACCAAACACGTACCTCATCTTAATAACACTGCACACTGCCTAGCACAGTGCCTTAGACAGGTTGGTGCTCAACAAATATTTGAATGGATAACAACTAAGTTTATTCGTTCATTTATTTAACTCCCCAGCCTGTATCACCAAAACACTCCCTGAGAATTGAAAGGGTGTATTAAAGCCACAAGATTTAAAAAATAACACTGTTCATTGATTTATTTAAATTAAAAAATAATTGTATATGGTAAATATCTATTAAGTACAACATGGGACAGGCACGGTGCCTCATGCCTGTAATCCCAGTTCTTTGGGAGGCCGAGACAGGCAGATCAGTTGAGGCCAGGAGTTTAAGACCAGCCTGGCCAAAGTAAAACCCTGACTCTACTAAAAAAATACAAAACTTAGCTGGGTGTGGTGGCGCATGCCTGTAGTCCCAGCTACTTGGGAGGCTGGGGCAGAATTGCTTGAACCAGGGAGACAGAGGCTACAGTGAGCCGAGATCATGCCACTGCATTCCAGCCTTGGTGACACAGCAAGACTCTGTCAAAAACACAAAAAAATCAGTACAATATGATGTTTTGAAAAAGCTGGATGATTTTGACAATAGGGTAGGAGTTGCTATTTCATCTAAATCCTGTATCCCCCCCCTTTCTTTCCCTCTGTGACAGGCACTCAGGCTCACCAGTTTGCACAGGGTGGTCCCCAGTGATGGTATGCCATCCCCACTAGATGGCAGAGAAGAGCTGCTGAGCTCTGGCCAGGCCATGAGTAGAGCTGCAGGTGCCTCCCTGTTCCCAGGCTTCCCTCTACTGAGCTCATTCAGGGGCCTTCTGACCACTCTGAACAGCTGCCGTGATGCTGCAGGATGCATCAGGTTGAAGGAACTTGGAAACAGATTTCTCAGTGGGCAAATCCTAGACTCCAGCACAGCCGACCTAGAGCTGGAAAGACCCTTGAGAGGGTGTCACTAGCAGCCCCCTTTCCACAAAGATGGCTGGAGCCCAGAAGCAGAGAAGTAGGCTCAGAGCGAGGACTGAGACCTCGAATGCTCCTTTCCCTCTCGGCCACTGTGCCGTGCTTTGCAGGGTTGTCCTCTCAAGGTGTTTTAAGGAAACCCAGATCTAGAGGGTAGTGTATAACACCTGCAGCTTGGCACAACAGCTACTGCTACCCCTCTGTTCCTTAGCCCATGTGATGCCCGCATTGCCCTTTTCTATGAATTCTTCTTCACAAACACTTGTTTGCTAGGTTCTGACTCTGATGCCTCCCTTAACGCTGCCTCCCACCCCTGCTCATGCTCAGACCATTCATCCGTGTTCTCCAGGCATCTGGTTCATAGTCGGAGAGCTCTTAGCTCTAGGAGGTGTCATTATCTGTTTAATTGGTCAGCCTCCCCTGTTAGAATGTGGCCTCTGAATTGTGGAGGGGGACAGGGGCCGAGACATGTTTCTTCCTGGGTCCTCAGTCTCTGACAGGAAGCCTGGTCCTGTGGGATGAAAAGATGAAGTTGCATTGTGGTCACCTGCAAGGCAGCCAGAGGCTGGGGACTCGCTCATCCCCTGAGGTCTTTTCAGGAGGGAGGATGCCATGCTGCTGAGCAGAGGCTGCAAGTGGTCAGGATTGCTCTGCGTGTTCGGTTCAAAGGGCTCTGGAGCTGCTGCCTCCTCTAGGCACAGGTCAGCCCATTTTGAATGGGGCGATAAATGGTGACAGCAAAGCCACCTGAAAGCAGCCTGACCTGGTGGCTTGTGCTCCTCCAAACCCTGGGCAGAATCTGAAAGCAGCAAAACTAGCTTAGCTAACACCAGTCTGCTTGTTCCTCAGAAACTTCTAGAGGTCCATGAGTTAAAGTCTCTGGCTTTACTGTGAGTTCAAGGCAAGGGCTGCAATTTTAGGATTTATATAAGAGTTTGCCTTCCACAGACTTGGCGGGATTCATTCCCTACCCCTCCACCTTCTCCAAGAATCTGTGTTTATGCCCTCTCAGCTTTCCCCTCCTCCACGCCCTCTGCAGTACCAGGTGCTCTGGGTCCCCTGTGTCTGTGGCACGACTGGGTAGGCACAGCTGTCCCCTGCATTCTACCCATGTCGCCAAGATGTATAGGCAGTCTCTCATCAGTCCATGCATCTCTCTCTCTCTTGCTGTGATGCTGCCTGCCCGCCCCCCCCGCCCCCCGCCGAGGGTCAAACTGGCTTCTTCTTTGGCTCGAGAGTCTCCCAAGGAGGCACCGCCACAGACTGTGGCATCGCGGTTTTGTTTTACCTGATCCCAAAATGACTGATGCAACCGGGATGTCTTTGCTGTTCTTTGCATGATCCAATTTTGGGGATAAAGCCGCGCCTCACTGGGTGGTATAACCTCCTGCACGCACGATGATTAATTTGTGCTTGCTCCCTTCCTCTCCTCTGTGGCTCACTGTCTAGGTGAGCTTGACTTCCCACCCCCAGCCAGTCACCCACTTTTGAAGCCAAGAAGGCAGCTGATTTTATTATTCCCCACAGGCTTTCATCAGAGTACAAGACCTCATCAGCAGCATTGAGGTAAAAGTTGAAGCATTCTTACTTGTCAAGAAAGTGGACTTGGGGTTCGGGGTTCAGGGGCAGCCCTTGTGGCAGGTGTATTAGTTCATTTTCACGCTGCTGGAAAAGATGTACGTGAGACTGGGCAATTTACAAAAGAAAGAGGTCTAATTAGACTTGCAGTTCCACATGGCTAAGGAAGCCTCATGATCATGGCAGAAGGCAAGGAAGAGCAAGTCACAGCTTATATGGATGGCAGCAGGCAAACAGAGAGCTTGTGCAGGGGAACTCCTCTTTTTAAAACCATCAGATCTCGTGAGACTTACTATCATGAGAACAGCATGGGAAAGACCTGCCCCATGATTCAATTACCCGCCACGGGGTCCCTCCCACAACACATGGGAATTCAAGATGAGATCTGGGTGGGGACACAGCCAAACCATATCAGCAGGCAAAAGCCCTGAGGACACGGGAGCAGAGCTCACTGGCGTCTGGGCATCTGGGCCACAGCCTTGCTCCAGGGGCAGAGTGGCCACACAGTAGGAGACAGCAGTGGGCAGTGTGAGCTGTCACGTGGTAACTGACTGAGGCAGATGGGTTCCCGATCTCTCCAGGGTTGGGTTTCTTGTCTGTGAAAAGGGATTGGACCTACGTCACAGGCTGCTGTGAGGATTCAGTAGGTTCTCAGGAACTGGTTTGCATCCTCCTGGTGGCGGATAGCTGGTCACCATCCTCTCAGACTCCAGTAATCTGATAGCGCTGGAGGAGTTTCCCAAATGCACATGAGCTGAGCTCCATTCCCCAGAAATGGACCTGGGGAGCAAGGCCCACAGTCTGAACTGAGCGCCCCAGAGTTCTGGAGCAACTCCCAGCCCTACTGTTCCTGGCTGAGAATATTCAGTTTGTCATCCAACCCAATAGGCCTGCAGTGGGCTAATGAAACTGGGCGCTGGGTGGTGGTAGACACCATTCCTTTTATTCTTTTTTTTTTTTTTTTTTTTTGAGGCAGGGTCTCACTCTGTTCCCCAGGCCAGGGTGCAGTGGCACAATCATGGCTCACTGAAGCCTAGACCTCCTGGGATCAAGCAATCCTCACACCTCAGCCTCCCAAGTAGCTGGGACCACATGTGCACACCACCACGCCTGGTTAACTTTGTTTGTATTTTTTGTATTGTCAGGGTTTTGCCATGTAGCCCAGTTTGGTTTCAAATTCCTGGGCTCAAGCAATTAGCTCACTTTAGCCTTCCAAAGTACTAGCATTATAGACTTGAGCTACCACGCCCTGCCCTTAGACAGAAAGTTCTTTCTTTCTTTTTTTTTTTTTGAGACGGAGTTTTGCTCTGTCGCCCAGGCTGGAGTGCAGTGGCGCGATCTTGGCTCACTGCAAGCTCCGCCTTCCAGGTTCACGCCATTCTCCTGCCTCAGCCTCCTGAGTAGCTGGGACTACAGGTGCCCGCCACCACACCTGGCTAATTTTTGTATTTTTAGTAGAGACGGGGTTTCACTGTGTTAGCCAGGATGGTCTCGATCTCCTGACCTCGTGATCCACCCGCCTCAGCCTCCCAAAGTGCTGGGATTACAGGCGTGAGCCACCGCGCCCAGCCTGAAAGTTCTTACTTTCTGTATATCTCAGTGCTGTCTGTTAAAAGGCGTACACATTTTTTCTCCTGAACAGATTTATTGTGAGGGTATGGGAACGTGAGATACATTTGAATTCCCAGTTGGAAACAGTGAAGAAATCAGCAAATGTCTTGTCCCTCTCATTTATTTCCACATAATAAACACCTGTCATGGGCCAACCCTTGTGCCGAGCTCAGTGGGCACAGAGCTGAGGAGAGAGGCCGACAGGAGCTCCCAGCCTGCCAAGCCTCATAACGTAAGCTGCTCTGTGTTGAGTCTGCTCTGTGCCCCACGCGTCATTTATGCAAATGCTGCTCTAGATCCTCACGTTAGCTGAATGAGGCAGGTACTATTGCTCTCCCTATTCCATGCAGGAGGAAACTAAGGCTCAGCGAGACATATGCCACGTCCCCATGGGTCCACAGCCAAAAGCTCAGTGGAATTCAAATCCACTCTGTCTCCTAAGCTTATGCTCTCTCGGCCACATACCCTCCCCACCCATGTATCGTAAGGGGCATCTGTATATTCTGGGGTTTACCTACCCGCATGGTAAAGGGCTTGTTCAGAGCTATTGCCTGAAATGCCCAGTGCTGCTGACTCTCACTTGTAAATCCACTGGCCTGGATCTGGGGGTCTTCACCTGAAGCCAAGGAGCATAACTTTGCTGTCTACAAAAGTAATGATTGCTGTGGGGTCCAACTATTGTCATTTGTCAGGTCTTACCAAGGTTAAAATGTCTGCCTCTCCTCGTGTGCTATGAGCTGGGAAGTGGGTTAAAGTAAACTCCTAAGAGTGTATCTTAAAAAAAAATGAAGTGCCTTCAAGTGCGCTCCACATCGACTGCTCAGGGCTTAGTTGCACACATCTGGGTGCTCAGCATAATTCCAGAGAACTGCGGATCCTCAGTGGGTGCCTTTTGGATAGGGGAGATGTTCTTGTCCTGCTGACGGGGAGAAAGAACCTGCCCATGTTGACATGCACCTGCTGAGTGCCACAGATTGTTTTTATTGGTCATGGTGATATCCTGGGGCCTAGAATGGAAATGGACTCATTTTCATGCCTAGTAAAACCTTTTTTTTGGGAGGTTTTTTTTTTTTTCTTTTTTTTTGCAGAGAGAGAGTCTTGCTATGTTGACCAGGCTGGTCTTGAATTCCTGGGCTCAGGCGATCCTCCTGCTGTGCCCTCCTAAAGTGTAGGGATCACAGGCATGAGTCATCACATCCAGCCAAAATCTATCTTTTATCTCACCGCAAGCTTTTAATTCATTTCCAACTATTAGGAATTAGTTTGTTTCATAAGCCTGAGATATGTGCAGGATTTTTGAAAGATGATTTCTGTCAGTGTGGAAGCATGTTGCCTCCAGCAGTCGTTAAAACTTTCACCAGCTTGTCTAAGAGTTTGATTCAATGTCTCATCGTCCTCCGACATGCTACTCTTGCTAGTAAACAAGCAAAAGGAAACTGCTAGGGCTCAGGGTTTGGGTGCTACTGAGTGTTTACAAATACTCGAGCTGTAGACAAGCAAATGTTCCCTGACACAGAAGGAAGAAGTGTGCAGGATATTCCTCTTTATCCTCAGCTCTGCTGAGAGAGAGAGAGAGAGAGAGAGAGAGAGAGAGAGAGAGAGAGAGTGTGTGTGTGTGTGTGTGTGTGTTGGGGACAATCACTTGCTTCAGAAGACAGTATTGTGTGATACAAGGAATATCTGGAGTCAGACAGAACTGTGTCCAAATTCCAGCTCTGTCTGACCCTGACCTGTTCCTCTTCTTGGTCTCAGCGTCCTTCACTCTAACACTTGGGTAGTGAGACCTACCCTGAGGGTCACTGAGAGGAATAAAGGGGCCATGTGTGTATAAAGTATATACCCAGAACCTAGTGGATGTTCAGCACGGGATTTCTTACCTTCTCTTTAGAAGTAGGGACATCGTAAGACTTGTCATCCTATTTTATTGGTCTCCCTCTTGGGCAGAAACCCTAAACATTCTGCTCTGTCATCCCCATGAGCCACAACTCTGCCAAACGGGGCCTGCGGATTTGGGAGATCTTGGGAGCTTAGGGGTCATGGATGAGTCAGAGCACACACTATTCAAACTATTCCGTCATAGCTTTGGAATACACAGGAAAGCAACCCTGAGGAATTTCCATTAAACAAACAAAGGTTTGCATCTTTTTTTGATCTTTGCTTGTCTGGTAAAAGCCTGCTTTTGTTATCAAGCCTTCCCAGCGGGAACCTAGGGGAGAGAGACAACAGCCAGGAGCCAAGCCCAGGTTCCAGTAGGAAGGCCCAGGGGCCTCACTTGAAATAGCCACATCTAACCTTTGTAAAGGCTGCTTTCTGCCCATGGCTGCAGAGGCCATTTCCTTTGCTTCTAATTTTTCCAGGAGAGGAAGAAGCGGGGAGAGACCAACAATGACCTGTTTCTGGCAGATGTGTTTTCCTACCAGGGAAGCTCCATGAGGCTGCCAAACTGTACAAGAGGAGTGGGCACGAGAACCTTGCACATGAAATGTGTTGGAAGAAAAGCTGAGTGTTGGGAGAGAAGCTGAGGCAGGGCTTGCATGTTTGCTAGACTTGCTGCTCCTTGCTTCTAGCATTCCCATGTTCTCAAGTAGCCATATGTTTCTCATTCACTTGATACACCGTTTCCTTTCAACCCCCACATCCTCACCACCTGTTTGTTGCAGCCTCCACACTTGTGATAGCCCCCTGGTCCCATTTTGTCTCTCAAACTGTCTTTCTCATTCCTTGGACTCCACTGGACTTCGTCGCCCCCATGACCTGCTGTTGGGTCTGATCACCCCAAAAGAAATGAGGTTTGAGTATGTTAGAGTATGCCAAGGTAACCCACCCTGTCCCAGGCCCATGCTCTGGCTTGGAGCCCACTGGTGATCTCACCCACGGTGTCCAGGTTGTTTTCCCTAAGACTGGTGCAGACAAAAACTAGCAATGGTCTCAGACAGGATGTGGGGAAACTGGTAAACAAAGGACCCATCTACAGCCACTGGTTGAAACTCACCTAAAACTGACCTTTAAGGCTGACACCAAAGGGGCAGAGTATGGCAGTTCAGACCTTCATCAGTGACAGAGCTGGATGGCTGTGGGTCTACACCAGCACAATCCCTTCATTGAGTTGAGGGCTCAGGGCTTCAGGGCTGTCCCCCACAAATCCTCTCAATCCTTGTCAGGAGCCGCCAAGAATCGGTGTCTTCAGGAAGGAGCCGGTCCTGCCGATCATACAGGACGACATGGTGCCTGCCAGCCAAGGTTCCCATAGCACCTGCTGATTGTCCTGGACTTCTCACTGGGCTTCTGGGAAGTCAGGCAGAGCCTCCGCCCTCCCATGTTAGCGCAGCATGCCTCACGCCTGCCGGCTGCAGAGTGGCTACCATGTGGTTGCAGTGGGTGATGGCAGAGATTCCCTTTTGCATTGGGACGGCCCCCATGAACCTTACTCCCCAGCAGAGCTGGGCCTTTTAAGGCAGGTGTAGGAGAGGAGCTTCCTGGACCAGGCTCCTGATGGCTTCTGTGGGAAGGAGTTGCACTAAGGAGCCCAGAGCAGTCAAGACATTTGCAGTTCAGTCTAAGCAAGGTTCAAAGAGGCTTGGGTACATTGGGCAATGAGGGTCTTCCTTCCATCAAGGGGTTTTGTTAACCTGCCTTTTCTGGGAGTGTCAAAAGTGGCTCTCAGTGTGTTATGAAGGGACTCATCGGCCATAACCTATTAGTGGGCTACTAATGGTAATTCTCCAGCTCACAAGTTCAAGATAGAAAATCTTCCCCACTTTTTTCTGATTTTCCAGATGGCTGTGCTCTTCCACCATCTATTCGACCCTGGAGCTGAAGGTGTGTTTGGTGGCCTGTGATGTTGCCCAGGACTTGTTGTTCATCAGGACTTGGACGAGCTCCTGGGCCCCAGCCTGTCTTTTCACCTTAGTGATTTCTTCACTCCGTACCTGAGACCCAGGGTGTTCAGGCTCCCTCTACTTTTTCCTCGTCACCTTTCCTACCCTCCCTCAGGCCCCACCACAGACACCTAGAAGATTTCATACCACATTCATACTGAGATCACCAGAGTCAGTGCATCTCTGCTTCCGGGGATAACAAAATTTTAACTCAGGATGAACTCTTGAGGGATCAAGACCCTAGAGGTAGAATTTAGGCTTAGGAACCCCTGACGCCTCCAAGGAGACAGCTGTACTGCAGTCTGAATTTGAGAAATGTGTACATACACATTATGTGGGGGGTGGGGGAGATCTAGTGCTGATTAACATGGCATGTTTTTGTTTACTTGAAAATTGCTTCTCAAGATTTAATCTAGTTTTCAGAAAATTTTTAAATTTACATTCTCATGTACAAATAAATTGTATGCTTTCCGGATAAGTGACATGTTTATATGGTGATAAAGGGAATTATAATGCTCTTAACTCTTATGTAGTATGTTCTCATCAAAATCACCAAGCATGAGAACACTGTTTAGTCTCATTCATCACTCAGCACAGCCTCTTTCTGTCCACTTCAGGGCCAAGTCTTTGCCATGGCCCCACATAACGTGTAAATTAGCTTCAGGGATCAAAAATCTTTGAAAACCCAGTTTGCTGAGCCTTGAAGGAAGCCTTTAGACCCAGCTTCAATGAAGTCACAGCTCCCTGAGGGTCCTGGTGGACTGGAGGCGGCCTCCCAAGCCTGGGAGCTGTGTGCCTGGATGGTCTCACTGGGGTGATGACCCAAGCTCATGGCTCCCTCTCAACCTCTAACCCTTCTTAACACAGTCACCCCTGGTCCCCTGAGCACTCACTGAAGTCCCTTTGAAGGACATTTCTAGTCTCCTAAGATGCCTGTTTCCTCCAGCTGCCACCCTCATTTCACCAGCCAGGTAGGCAGGTTTTCCAGCTTCGTGCTGGCATAGAGAATCCGTGCCATAGCAGCTGCCAAAAGGAAAGGTGTGTCTGTAAAGGCCCAAACTAGGCGGGGACAGTGGCTGCTTTCCAAGCCCCTTCCCTTTGTCAGCTCCAGGGAGAACCAAAGGCCAGCCAGGGGGCCTGTCTTCTATTGGGTCCCAGCATCAGGGTATACAATGCGCTTTCCTCCCCTTCTTAAAATGTATCATATATTAGGCCGACCTAATACTCTGAAAGCACATTTACTCTGAAAGCAAATGAGGGAAAAAAGCGAGCTAATTGTTCAAGTGGATTTTTAGCATACATTGACTGTACTTTCCTGACACATGAGTGTTAATCATGGGGAAAGGAGTGCTTTTTTTGTTCTCAGTGAGGCTGACACAAAGTACTCTCCACAGGGTACATTATTCCTGAGACAAACCACTTCTTACCAGTAACATAGACCTGGGCTGTAAGTGCTCCCAGTTTCCCTTTTTGAAAAGCTCCACCTTTAAAAGCTGCCTCAACTCTGGCAAACTCCCACGTGTGTATTTTGGGTAACTACCCTGAAAAGAGGTGGTGTTCTGAGGCTGTTTCTCACACATTGTAGGGCCTGCCCAGAGAAGCTGGGCATACCGCTTCAGAGGTATGCTGAGGCCGAAGGAACACAGGCCCTAGGCCTGATCCCTGAGCCTCCAGGACCACAGCCATCTCTTCCTTCTCAGGTCCTCTCCTGAGCACCTTCCCTGCCTCAGATCCCCCCATGGCCTCCTGCTGTCCCACTGTCGGATCAGGTTCTCACCCCTGCAGACCTGACCTCAGCACAGGATCCCTAACCATTCAGCCGAGAAGCAACTAACCAGAGAGAGGTTTGCTTGTTATCTGTTCCAGGAAAGTAACTGGGGCAAAGACAATGTGATGATTCTCTAGTTCAGGGCACAGAATGTTTGCTGGTGACTCAGAGAGGGCATGGAGGGCACGGAGGGCCGGCAAACACTGTAAGTCATTTTGTCTGTGTAAGTTTAGGGGAACCCATGCTCAGCCTCACTCTGAAGCATGTGGTATCACCCATATGATCTGAATAAGATGACAGGTCTCGATATGTGGAACTGTGCACCAGGTTGTCTCATTGCTGTTTAGGAACAGTCCTGTATTTACCAAACTATGTGAGAGAGAGACAGCCTGATCATGAACCCCCGACCCTGCAGACTTCATGTGCAGTGCCCCAAATAGTCTAGAAAGTGTTGTTTAGCCGATGAACAAATGCCCATTTGTGAGATGGGAAGGAAGCACTGGGGGCCAGCGTCCCTGATGCTGTCCCAGGATCCCCCAGGAACACCTGCAGGGCAGCCTGAGATCACTCTTCCCGAGACCTGGGACTCCCCCAACTCAGCCCCTCAGGGCCGGGCCCTGCCTACCTCCTGGTTGCCTGCTTCAGCCATGTGGAGCCCGCCCTTGCTGCTAGAAAACCCTGATGTAACGCTGGCACAGGAAGTTCTGATCCAGAGTGTTTTTGTTTGTTGTGCTTCCTCAGGATTTCTTTGGATCTGGAGACCCCAAAGAAACAAAGATGCTAATCACCAAACAGGCTGACTGGGCCAGAAATATGAAAGAGCCCAAAGTCACCGTGGGGATGTAAATCTCAGCAGGAGAGCACGTCAAGGCCATTGAGATCTGTGGTGACTATGTCAGGGTTGACATGAAAGTTTCCGTCTGTGCCCTGAGCATTTGGCAGCATGTCATCACATGCCACCTCTTGGCTTTGACTGACAAGGAAACAAATCGTGCGTCTCTAAATATTTAAAGCAAATGTGATAGCGATTGGGTTCCTTGGGAGACACAGAGACTGCCTGTGTTTAGCACTCAGAGCAGGCCCCACACTCACCTCTTCCTTTAGAGGGCAGTCATTGAGGAATTCTCACGCCTTGGCCTCCACTTTTCTGTGTGAATTCCTGCACCCGTGGTATAAAGAGCGCTGGGCCACTTCCTGGCTGCTGAGTCTTGGGCTGGGTGCTTCACCTTCACCCCAGACATTATTCTTCTCATCTGCAAGATGGAAATAATCATGCCCACCTCTTAGGGACCCAAGTGACAGGGCTTGGGTATTTCGGCAGGCCTTTATCCTGCTTCCCCATGGCATGGAGCTCCTGGGCCTGGCACCCCTTCCCTGCCTGCCCACCCGGGTGGCCTTTCCTCTTGGCAGCCAGGCCCCAGGGGCCCGAAGCCAGAGTCCAGGGGGAGGAGGACACGTGCCTGCCCCGGCCCCTCGGGAGTCCGTGGCTGTTTTGTAGGAGTTGGTGCCCTTGTGCTACCGCTGCTCCACCAACAACCCGCTGCTCAACAACCTGGGCAACGTCTGCATCAACTGCCGCCAGCCCTTCATCTTCTCCGCCTCTTCCTACGGTGAGTCCCTGCATCCTGAGCATGTGGGTGGGACAGCCTGTGGACGGCTAGGCTCACTCCACTGCTCTCTGGCCTCAGGACATTGGGCAAGGGCCAAAGGCCTCTGAATGTCCCTGTTTATGAAATGAGGACACTCTGACACCCACCTACCTGACACAAGGAGTCACTGTCGGTGTTCCCAGAGATAGGACCCACTGCTGCCCAAAGCTGAAGCACCCACTCTGGGAACCTGGCGCAGGGCTTTACATAACCAAATGCCCCAGGAAGAGAGTCCGATGGCTTTGCATTCAGACCAGGAGGCTGAGATAGGTTTTCAAGGCCCAGCTCCTTTGATGTTGACAGAGGATCAGAAGCCCCTTCCCAGGAGCTGAGCAGAGGCCACACACACACAGAGACTGCCCCTGCACACACACACACACACACACACAGAGATTGCCCCTGCACATACACACACACACAGAGACTGCCCCTGCACACACACACACACTGCCCCTGCACACACACATACACAGATGGCCCCTACACACAGACTGCCCCTGCACACACACACACACACACACACACACACACACACACAGAGACGGCCCCTGCACACACACACAGACTACCCCTGCACACACACAGAGCTAGCCCCTGCACACACACACACAGAGCTAGCCCCTGCACACACACAGACTGCCCCTGCACACACATACACACACATACACACACAGAGACAGCCCCTGCACACACACACACCGACGGCCCCTGCACCCACACAGACTGCTCTTGCACACACACACACTCACACACATACACAGAGACTGCCCTTGCACACACACACACAGAGACTACCCTTGCGCACACACAGAGACTGCCCCTGTACCCCACACAGACTGCCCCTGCTGCCTCTGCTTGCCTATTTTTTTTTTTTTTGTATTTTTAGTAGAGACGGGGTTTCACCGTGTCAGCCAGGATGGTCTCGATCTCCTGACCTTGTGATCCGCCCACCTCGCCCTCCCAAAAGTGCTGGGATTACAGGCGTGAGCTTGCCTAGTTTTTTAAACCTGCTGTTCTTGTGCAGGCATGGTGGCTCATGTCTGTAATCCCAGCACCTTGGGAGGGCGAAGCAGGAGGATCACTTGAGCCCAGGAGTTCAAGGGTGCAGCAGGCCATCATCATAGCTGTTAATGGCCACTGCATTCTAGCCTGGGCAACAGAGTAGAAACGTCTCTAAAAACAAACCGTAAACACTACCTAGCACTAATGTCCTGTGACCCCTCCTTGCACTCTCCACCTTTGTGTAAAGTACTCTCTGTCCACAAAGTCTTCCTCTTATTCTCCCTCTAGTTCACATTTGGTTGTAAAGCCTCCGTACCCCTGAAAATACCCCTTACCAAAGCATAAAGGGCCTCTTAAAGTCTGAGGCCTATGTTTGATCTTCCCCAAATTCCCTCATAAATAAAGCAACATTCTGGAAACAACAGCCAAAAGATATTATATTGAAAACCGGTGATTACTGCTGTGTTCACTGTGTCAAGCAAAGTCCATTTTTCTGGTCTTGGGACTCCACAGCTATGAGGACAAAAGTCTCTCCCCTCTCCAACAAAGGAAACACACTGAACTCCCCAAGAAGCATTCTCTTTTTCCTTTTGGGATGGAGTTTCACTGTCGCCCTAGGCTGGAGTGCAGTGGCGCGATCGTAGCTCACTGCAACCTCTCCTGCTGGTTCTCCCACCTCAGCCTCCTGAGTAGCTGAGATTACAGGCGTGTACCACCACGCCCAGCTAATTTTGTCTTTTTAGTAGAGATGGGGTTTCGTCAAGTTGGCCAGGCTGGTCTCGAACTCCTGACCTCAGGTGATCTGCCCACCTCGGCCTCCCAAAGTGCTGGGATTACAGGCATGAGCCACCACACCTGGCCCCAAACAAGCATTCTCTAAACTCCTGTAAGGAATGACTTCACATTCCCTCAGAGAATGTCAGCTTCCCAAAATGCATCCCAAGAGTTTCCAGAGTTCCTGCCAGAAGTGCCCGCACAGATGCAAACTTCAGACCCCTGAAACCAGAGATGGACCCAACTCACTTGTTGCATATCAGCAGCACTCTCAGCTCCTTGACATTGTGGACCAGGAACTTCCGGAAGCCACTGGGCAGCACGTGCTTTCTGGTTTTTTTTTTTTTTTTTTTTTTTTGCTCCTATAACCAATGCTGGGCATCATATCAAGACCTGGCCCTTGAACCTTCTATGAACCCTGTTGTCAATGCCTCTGGGTTTCCACCAGTTACGCTGAAGGAAATAATACACAGGTGGGTTAGCATCTGTGCAGACTGCCAACTGTTCCATAGGGGAGGGAAAAAAGGACCAAATGAAAAGGAAGTATGCCACACAGTAGTTGCCTTTGGTAATAGGACTTCACTATTTCCTTACATGCTTTTTTGGTGGGAAAAACCAGGAGCTCGTGGCTTTTGCCACTAGGAAGGCAGGCACCCCCGCCATTCTCACTCCCAAGAAATGGAGACACCAATGGGATGCGAGGGGACTGTGTAGATATTGAGATGGCGAGCACAGGTGCAGACACTGCTCTCAGCACCTCTGAGTTTTCTTGTCTATAAAATAGGGATCCTGCTGTCATAAGGCAACCCAAAATACATGATACAAATGCAAAGCCCTCCAAACATATCAAAATGGCCAAGTGTCCCTTTTCATTAAAGTTTCACTTCACACATCAAGAGACGTAAGTACCAGCACTAGGGCACACTGGGGGAGACCTGTATTTCCACAGAAAGCTCTTCCACAAACCAGTTCATCGGTCAAAGGTAATCCTGACTAGGTGATGTCAGAACTGGCAGCCTGTTGGAAACTCCTTTCTTCACCCCACACCCATTTCCATCCCAGGACCACACACCTTGATTTTGACATATCGGTCTGACTGGTGCCGGATGAATTTCTTGGTTCTCTTTTTGACGATCTTGGGCTTCACAAGGGATCTGAGGGCAGCCATGATGCCTTTTGGGGAAGAAGTAGCCCCAGGTGAGGAAGAATCCTGGAAGGAGGCTTTCCCGCCCAGGGACTGAACACTGTCGCAGAGTGTCTTCCAATCACCAGCTACGGAGCAAGCTGGGAATGGAATGGGTGCCTCTGCCAGGCTTGCTTTCCCTCCCTTTCCGAAGCTGGCAGAATACTAGGCAGTCTCCAGATGCGATCCCAGGAGGTCAAGGGTCACCTCACCCACTCAGAGCCCAAAGAATGCCAACAGCTGAGCAAATCAAAACTGACCCCAAGACACTCTCAATTTGCAAGGGGCAGCAAATCCCACCCTGCCAGTGTCTGAACCCCCAGATGGTCCTTCCGGTAGTACTGGCCTTGACCATCTACTTGAACTGGAGTCTCAGTTTCCTCACCTGTAAAATGGAGACGACATTGTGTGCTGAATGCCTGCAGTACCTGTCACAGGGTAAATGTTCAATAAAGAAAACCTTCTAATTCCCTAGGTAGCAGCTGCGCTACCACACCCCCAACACACACAAAACCATCATATCCCTCTAAGGATGCCTCAAACCTGGAGATCTTCCATTATCAACTCACAACTTCCTCAGTGTGGTCTTCTGAGCCATTCATTTATTTCCTACAGCAGCACCCCTTCTGTTCTCTTTGCAGCCATCAGTTGGCACAGAGTGGGTACTCAATGAACCACGTATTCAAAACAACTTTGCCTTCTGGCCCATGATATCCTTGAAGGCAAGGGGGAAGTTTCATCTTTATATTCCCAGAGCTCCTGACGATCAAAATCTCTGTTAACAACTGAGTGAGCTGACCTGCACCCCATCTTTTTTTTTTTTTTTTTTTTTTTTTTTTTGCAGTCCCACCACAGCAGCCCTAGGGTCACAGGCTAGAAGGAAAGGAACGTGGGGTCATGGCAATGAATGAATGCACGTGGGCCAACATCAGTAAGCACGGTATAAACCGAAAAATAAATTCTAAGCCCCCCACCCAACTGAATGGACTCCTGCTCTTGGCCAAGGGCATTCCAAAGTTAACCTGAAAAACTAGTTCAAGCCATAATGGGAATGTGGGGTCGAACTTGCCTCATTATGCCCTTCTCCCTATGGAATTCAGGCACAGCTGACCAGCGTTAGCATTAAAAGAGATCCCAAGACTGACAAAACAGACTTTGTAGCAATAAGACACCAAATTTCAACCTGACTCTAGTATAGCATCACATGACAGATTGCAGGCCCTGAAAGAAACAGAAGTACTTTACCCAAAAATATATTTCTTTGACATATTCTGACATGGCCCTGTAAAGCTGTCTCTTGTGGGGACAATCTACGTCCTGTAGTGAATCCCCCTCCCTTTCCAGGTCTTCTCCCTGAGCCAGGAGAGGCTCCACTAAGACTTTGGCACCTTTTCAGGCCTGGTAAGAAACATTTACGATCTACTCTCTTTGAAGCCCGCTACCTGGAGGCTTCCTCTGCATAAATAAGAACCTTGGTCTCCACAACCTCTTATCTGAACCCAGGCATTCCTTTTTGTTGATTCCAAGTCTTTAGACAAACTCAACCAATTGTCAAATCTACCAACAGCCCGGACCAGGCCCCCCAACACACCTCCCTAAAATGTACAAAACCAAGCTGCACCCCAACCACCTTGGGCACATGTTCTCAGGACTTCCTGAGGGCTTTGTCACGGGCCGTGGTCACTCATACTGGACTCAGAATAAGTCTTTTCAAATACTTTACACAGTTTGACTCTTTTCGTCAATAGACGCAAAGCCCAACCACCACCCCGGCTGCCTGCTTCACTCTGTTCGTGTACGCGCTCCAGCAAGCCGACAATACCCACAGACACAGAGTGGTAGGGAAGGCCTCCTTACCAGGGGACCATAGGGCCAGATGAAGCCTGCAGGAACGCAGATGGCCACGGATTAAGACTCACTCAGGCCGGGCGCGGTGGCTCACGCCTGTAATCCCAGAACTTTGGAAGGCCGAGGCGGACGGATCACTTGAGGTCAGGCGTTCCAGACCAGCCTGGCCAACATAGTGAAACCCACTCTCTACTAAAAATTCAAAAATTAGCCAGGCGTGGTGGTGGGCGCCGGTAGTCCCAGCTACTTGGCAGGCTGAGGCAGGAGAATCGCTTGAACCCCGGAAGCGGAGGCTGCAGTAAGCTGAGATCGCACCACTGCACTCCAGCCTGGGAAGCAAAGTGAGACTCTGTCTCAAAAACAAACAAACAAACAAACTCACCGAGCAGGAAAAAGAAGCACCAAGGAAGAGAGAAGGGATGAGAGAGCGCCGGGGCTGATGGGAGGTAACCTCTGGGTCCTGACAGGGAAAAGGCAAGCACTTCCGGCTCCGGGTCCTTAAAAAAAAGACATGTCAAAGAAAGAGTGCTGCAGAAATGCCGAATTTAACTGTTTTAATAGAGAGTAATATCTAAGAATGTAAAGGAAAATTTATCTTACCTGCCCTTGGCACTAGTTAGAAAGTTGGAATTCTTTCTGAGTTGAGACCTGGTGTAGGGAGGAATCTACTTCCGCCAGAAGTTGAAGCCAATCTAGCGTTTGGGCTATTTCCGCCCTTGTTTCCTCTACTCCGAAGTGCGCTTCCTAGCGGTCAGGAGAGATCAAGACCGACTTCCCAAAATTCCCTCACTGAATTTACATAGTAAATAGTGATGAGACCGGAACCGCTAACGTACGATGGGCCTACCACAATTCTATAATGTAACCTATTATTGTCTCTATTTTGCATATGTGGAAGGAGAATTTTGGAGATTTTACTCCAAGCTCCACGCTTCTAACCATTAGTCTAAACTACCTTGCTTTGTTTTGTTGGTTGTTTTGTAGAGTTATGGTTTTACTATTTTGGCCAGGCTGGTCTTAAGCGATCTCTCGCCTCAGCCTCCTGAGTAGCGGGGATTACAAATATGAGCCATTGTTCCCAGCTACTGTCTAATTTTTAAGCTTGTTCTTGATTTGCTTAGCTTTTTTTTTTTTTTTTTTTTTTTTTTTTTTGAGAGGGAGTCTCACTCTGTTGCACAGGCTGGAGTGCAGTGGAGTGGCAAGATCTCGGCTCACTGCAACTTCTGCCTCCCAGGTTCAAGGGACAAGGGATTCTCCTGCCTCAGGCTCCGTAGTAGCTGGGATTACAGGTGTGCGCCACCACACTCGACTAATTTTTTTTAATTTTCAGTAGAGACAAGGGTCTCACTATGTTGGTCAACCTGGTCTCAAACTCCTGACCTCAGGTGATCTGCCCACCTTGGCCTCCCAAAATGCTGGGATTACAGGCGTGAGCCACCGCGCCCAGCCCTTAGCTTTTGTTTTTAAGATTATTTTGAAAATCAAATTTCAGGAGGAAAAAAACCTCCTAGATTCCACTCCTGGAACACAGTACAGATGTCACTGGCGATCTTGACAGGGATAGTTCCAGGGACCAGATGGGGTCAGAAGCTAAACTGGATTGTATTGATGACTGAATGAGAGAGAGGTGAGAAGGGTGTGTTAACAACTCCATGGTGAGATTTTTGGGTGTGAGGAGAATGGGGAGTTTGAGGAGACCCAGAGAAGTGGAATGTCTGAGGTCACACAGCTGGCAAGCCGTAGTGCTGGGGCTAGAACCCTGCTGCATCTGTGGCTATTCCACACCTCATGAATCTTGCTTATCCTGCAGGCTGTATGTAGTGAGATGGGATGCGGAGCAGGGAAGCACATTACTAATGGCAGCCTGAATGATGCCTGTCATGAAAGAAAAGGTCTTGATTGGGTCAAGTGGGTTCATCAACTGGGAGGGTTCATGAACCACAGAGCCTGCCTTCAGTTTCCAAAGACCCAAGAGATTTGGAAGCAGTAACCTGATGGCTCAGTCTTTGTGGGGTACGGGACATGCTGCCACCTCACTTCACAGAGGAGAGTACGGGGTACCCACACTGCTTCCCTGTGGGCACTGGGGTCCCAGGACAAGAGGCTGGAGGTGGCCTGCAGTCATCCCTGGAATAGCCCAGGGAACGTACCTGTATTCCCCCAGGCTCAAGGTTTCCCCACTGGGATCCCGGGACAAGAGGCTGGAGGTGGCCTGCAGTCATCCCTGGAATAGCCCAGGGAATGTACCTGTATTTCCCCAGGCTCAAGGTCTCCCCCCGGTCACAGCTCCTGAGCAAGAAATCACATCAGCTGGGTCACAGGTGAAATGAGAAAAACTCCAACCTGCTTTATGTAGAAAGGGCAGAGGTCAGGGGAGGGAAATAGTCAAAAACTGCACGTCATTCCTTGGACACATCTACCCTCTGAGACACTGGACACTTTGAGTCCAGAGGGAACTGGCCCCCGGTCCATCCCTCTTTGAAAGGATTTCTTTAGTTTGACTCTTTGACACTCCTCTTGTGTCTGGGCTCTGGGCCGCTGGCTGCACTGGCCCCTGGCCCAGGAAGGCTGGGTCCGGCAACACCTGGCTAGCTCTAGTTGATGTAGTACACCTTGGCGGCATCATAATGGGCGTGGGTCATGTAGTTCTTGTTCCTAAGGGGCCACCAGTGGTCAGGGTGGTAGGTGGCTGGGTAGACATGGGGCTGGTGTTGAACACAACTGAAGAGCGCCAGGCTCCGGTCTGTGGCCACAGTGGGCAGGTAGAGCTGCAGCTTATCCAGAAGATGACCCGGCCAGAAGGAATTGGGGTGTGTTTGCTGCAGACCACTGGACCTCTTCACCTTCAGCTTCCTGGAAAACAAGAAGACACAGGGATGGTTGTCATGGCAGACAGGCCAGAGCTGAGGCTTCATCGCAGAGCCCACCAACTGTGACCAAAGTGGAGATTTAGCACTGTGCCAAGCACTTCAGCACCTCAGTCCTCCCCACAGTTCCATATGGTCAGCTCTGTTATCCTGTCGACCTCACCTGTGAGGACCCAGAGGCCTGGGGAGGCCGTCGCACACTGAGCAAGTGGCCAAGTGCAGGCTTCATTCCTTGTCCAATGCCTCTAAACTCAAAGTCTTAAGCGCGAACCATCTGTTATCTGGAGGCATTTTAATGTGGTGTTTGGAGTACGGCCCCTGCAGCCACCCTAGCTGGGTTCAGATCCCCACTGCATCACTTCGTAGATGTGCGACTCTGAGCATGATATTTACCCTGTCTGTGCCTCAGTTTCCTCCTGTGTAAAATGAATATGCTTAGTGTCACTTCGTAGGGCTGTTGGGAGGATCTGAGTGAGTGAACACATGGAAAGCCCCAGAGCAATGCCTCCTGGCCCTCTCTGTGTTGTGTCACTGCCTCTCAGGCCAGGGCACCGAGCCCCAGCTGTTGTGCCAGGAGTGCAGAGTCCCAGTTGTCTCAGGCGAAGCTGCCCCTCCTCCCACCTTCCTTCCTTGTGGAGTTAGATGATTGCCACAGACCTGGTAAATTCCTCAAACTCCTTAAAGCGCATTTTCTTGCTTTTCTTTGGCGTTTTCCTAGTGGAGAAGAGAGAGGCATTTTGTGAGGAGAGTGGAAATCCAGGCCAATGGGGCTTTAGGGAGTAGGTCAGGGCCGCAGGGGTGGACCCGTTTCTAAGTCTCAAACGAGAGCTCTGAAAGAAAAATGTCTTCCACCTGGGGTGGACCCTGACTCTGTGCCTCCATGCTCCAGGGGAACACAGTGGGCTTGGGTCAGCTGGACCTACCCTCAGAATCTGGCCAGGTGACCTGGGCAAGTCACTTCCCCTTTCTCATCCTTGGTTTTCTCATGGTCCAGAATAGAGACCTCTCAGGGTAGTTACGAGGGAGGCTCAGTAAGTCACTGCCAAATCCTTTTGGGGTCCCTGGCTCCTACTCCCCACTCCAGAGCTTAACCCAGCCCTGAGGACAAAGGTGGTGAAATCTAACCCCCTTCCCCTCCAACCCTGAGCCTGACAGACATCACTAATCGTTCACGGCACTCTTTCCCACCCAGCCTCCATCAACCATAAGTAGCAAGATACAGTCAACGTCTCTCCTTGACCTAAGAGAACTCTCTTTATCCTTTATTAGCTATGGCCTACCTAAGCATGGACCAAAATCCCCTTCCTGGGTTCCCAGCCACTTCCTGGCCCACCCCGGGGCTGGAAGGAAGTCACAGCCCGTGTCATGGCCAGGACCCACCTGCAGGCCTGGGCCTACTCCTGCACTTGAAGATGCCCCAACCAGAGCAAGGTAAAACAACGACAATCATTGATTGAGTGCTGTCCCTGCTAAGATGTTGACACTCTTTCTCATCTGATCCTCATAGTGTATGGTAGGAGCTACTAGGCCCCTTTACATATGAAGATGCTAAGACTCAGAGAAGTGCCTTGTCCATTTAACCGAAGGCCTGTCTGATCTCTACAGGGCCCTGCTGTGTCCCACTGCAGGCATTCTGGCCACACACCCAGTGGGCAGCTGGCAGGGGTCTAGAAGCAGGGGCAGGTCCAGGCCCCTCCCACCTCATGGTATCCGGCCAGCTGGGCTCTCCTCCTCCCATGCCGCGCCCCTGCCTCTGCAGGGATGCTGCCTTGTTCCTCTGCAGTCACCCACGGATGCTGCCCACGGGTTGTCACCTGCTGCTTGACTCAAATCTGGGTAGCTCAGGCTTTGGAGTACCAAAGGAGGCCATTTTCTTAGAGAAGACTCAGGTTGGCCTCTCGAAAGGGCTGGAGGCAGGTCCCGGGGAAATGTTCTTTTATCCTCCTATGAGCTGCAAGCCCACCTCTTGCCAGAGAAGGGGTGTGGCCGCTGCAAGGTGGCAGGGCAGAGAAAGGGCTGCCCCCTGTTCTCTGCAGGGCCCTGACACCTGGCTGGGGATTTGTGAAGGCCCTCGCTCCAGCCCTGTTCTCTAAGGAGGCTCTCCTTTTCATCTTTTCCAGAAACCTTATGATTGTGCAGGACTGGGGTCAGGAGGGTAGCTGTGTGGGAGCTGAGGCCAGCAGGCCATGATCCTGAGACATGCGCCAAGGGTGACCCGGGACTGGCCAGTCTGCAGTGAGCAGTCAGGTTGGGGGATGTTGCCCTAGGATGCAGACGCAAGCACAGCATGGCGCCCCAGGTACTCCAGCCTCCAGCCCCCACACTGAAGGGATAGCAATGGAGCAGGAGGCCAAGGCAGGGAGAAAGGGGGTCCGAAACTCAGCTTGTCAGTCCTCTTAGACTTGCCAGGGCCCTGGGACCGGAGCAGAGCCAGATTCGGAGAAAAGACCTTCCAGTCAGAGTAGTAGCCTCCCGGCTGCCGGATGGGGCACACTTTGTCCATCTGGAAAATGATCTTGTCTCCTGGGTACAGCAAGGCTGTGGACAGCAAGAGAAACATCTGCACCCATCAACCCAGACTGCCCATCCCTCCCTAAGCCTCTGGGGTCAGAGGAGGTGTTTTTTTTTTTTTTAATTCACATTTTTAAGACGTTTTCTTCTTATCTATATAGTAACTTTTTATTGTTGAATAGTTGTAGATTCACTGGAAGTTGCAAAAATACTGCAGAGGGGTCCCTTGAACCACTGTCCCAGTGGTGACATGCATATAGCTGTAGTGTGATGCCAGGAAAGGGGCCTTGGGACAATATGGCTCAGGGGACTACAGATGAGGGGGGTTTGTTCATAACAAGGACAACAAAGCCCCCAAGGCCCCGGTGCAACGAGGTCTGAGCTGTCCCAGGAGGCAGGAGGATTTGACCAAGACTTGATGAGGTTAACTTAGACCAATTTTCGGTTTTGTTTTGTTTTTCTGAGCAAGGTCTCACACTGTCGCCCAGGCTAAAGTACAGATCATGGCTCACTGCAGCCTCAACTTCCTGGGCTTAAGCGACCCTCCTACCTTAGCCTCCTAAGTAGCTAGGGCCACAGGCATGCACCACCATGCCTGGCTGATTTCTTAAATTTTTAGTAGAGATGGGTTCTTGTTATGATACCCAGGCTGGTCTGGAACTCCTGGGCTCAAGCCATCCTACCTACCCCGGCCTCCCAAACTGCTGGGATTACAGGCATGAGCCACTGCGCCCAGCCCACTTGGATTTGTTTGGTGGCAGTTTTCTCCTTGTCTTGAATTAATCTCATGGAGATCCTTGGGAGAGTTTTCTCAGATGTGCTGAATATAAAAAAAATACTGAGCCAGGGTCTCCACCTTCTGCAACTATCAAGCAGTGCTTGTCTTAAGCTGGTAACACATGAAAGCTCATGTTCTAGAAAAAGTGATGGAAGTTACGCTCCAGCGAGTTAATGTTGGTTATTTGGGGGTTGGGAAGGGGCTGTGGAGGTGAGAAGGAAGGAGAGGGAAGGGGGAGATATGTAACATTAATATTTTCAAAAGGTACACATGATTTTTTAAAGTGTGATTTAACAATGAGTTATATAAATAATTTTCTGTAAATGGAAAAGGAAAAGAGATTTGTGAAAGGATGGTCACTAAAATATTCACAACAGCCAACTCAGGCTGGGGAATTTTGATTTTTATGTTTTCAAAAAATTCAAATGAGCAAGTATTATCGCCAAAACCAGGGTGGAAAGCCAATAAAGCTATATTCACAGGGGAGGGGGAGACCTTGTTTAGAATTCTGGCTCCTGAGCTTGAAGCCTGGAGTCTGAGCCACCAAGGTCTAGTCTAGAACACAGAGCTGGAAGTCCTGATATTTGAGCCTCTCTGCTTATAGGAGATCAGGCCTCTGTCATAAAGATACCGAATAGCAAGTGGCCAAGACAGTGGTCAGAGATGGATTTGGGCCTAGTCCCACCCACAGGATGCTCCTGTGTGCCCATGAACGTGAGATCCTGCAGACAGGTGAAGCTCACTCATGTAGGAACCCAGCAGCTAGCAGAAGCCAGGGGTGGATGCAGTGGCTCACGCCTGTAATCCCAGTACTTTGGGAAGCTGAAGTGGGACGATCGCTTGAGCCCAGGAGTTCGAGATCAGCCTGGGCAACAAAGCAAGACCCCATCTCTTAAAAAAAAAAAAAAAGTGGCTCGATATTCTGGTGGGGACAGACAAAGAAGCACAGAGGGGAAGACCTAACCCAGAGGAGCAGTCCAGGGCACATGGCAAGCTGGCTGCATTTGAGAAGACAGAGCTGCAGCTCCACCACTGCGTAAGACCATGGTGTAAATAATCCGGAAAGGTGAGGTTCCCCAAGGAAGGAAGAAGGAGGGATGTTTTGGTGAAAAGTCAGCATCCAGAGCTATAGGATCTCCTTCTGTCTCTGCCCTCCCAACCCAGGTAGCACATGTGGGAGACAATGACCACTGAAGTTGCTTGCCTGTGTTCCTGACAGCCTCTGACCACATTCCCCTGTATACACTTGTGATGGGCCAAATTGTGTCTCCCCGAAATTCTTATGTTGTAATTCTAATCCTTAGTACCTTAGAATGTGATGTGTGTGTGCACGTGTGTGTGTATGAGAGAGAGACAGAGAGCGAGAGAGAAAGGGTCTTGCTCTGTCACCTAGGCTGGAGTGCAGTGGTGCAATCTCGGCTAGCTGCAACTTCGACCTCCCAGGCTCAAGTGATCCTCCTACCTCAGCCTCCTGAGTAGCTGAGATTACAGGCACATGCCACTATGCCTGATGAATGTTTGTATTTTTTGTAGAGATGGGGTTTTGCCATGTTGCCCAGGCTGTTCTCGAACTCCTGGGTTCAAGCAATCCACCCACCTCGGCCTCCCAAAGTGCTGGGATTATAGGCATGAGCCACTTCACGCTGCTAGAATGTGACCGTTGGAGGGGGGAGATAAAAAAGGTTGTGACTTCATTTGGAGATTTTGGTGGGTTTTTTTTTTTTTTGACAGGGTCTCGCTCTGTCACTCAGGCTGGAGTACAGTGGTATGATCATAGCTCACCACAGCCTTGAACTCCTGGGATCAAGCTATCCTCCTGCCTTGGCCTCCCAAAGTACTGGGATTACTGGGGTGAACCACTGTGCCCAGCCTGGAGATAAAGTCTTGAAGGAGATGATCAAGCTAAAACGAGGTTGTCCATGGGTGGGTGCTAATCCAATTTGACTGGTGTCCTTATAAGAGAAAATGTGGACACACAAGAGAGACAACAGGTGTGCATGTGCAGAGAAAAAACTGTGTGGAGGCAGCAAGGAGGCAGCCATCTGCCAGCCAAGGAGAGAGGCCTTGGAAACCAGCCCTGCTGGCATCTTGATCTGGGACCTCCAGCCTCCAGAACGGTGAAAAATAAATTCTTGTTGTGGAAGCCGCGCAGTCCACAGACTGGTATTTTGTTATAGGAGCCCTAGCAAACTAATCTAAGAAGACCCAGGGCCCTATAAATTTAGCGCTTGTTTCCCTCCCTCTTGGGAAAAAGATGGTAATAATCAATTGTGACTGTAAAGTCTAGTTCTCACGTAAGTCACACCACTGCCTGTGTGACGTGTTCCTTTCTCAGAAAGCTACATTTCCCAGTATGGCCAAAGTTCCTTCCTAGGCAGAGGTTCCTAGGAGAAAACCTCTGCCCCCAAGTGCAGCTTGCTCCTTCATGTTTTTAAAGCACAGAGAAGATCCTGCCCATTAAATTTATACATTCACCAGGCCGGGTGCGGTGGCTCATGCCTGTCATCCCAGCACTTTGGGAGGCCAAGGCAGGTGGATCACCTGAGGTCAGGAGTTCAAGACCGGCCTGGCCAACATGGTGAAACCCCATCTCTACTAAAAATACAAAAATTAGCTGTGCATGGTGGTGCGCACCTTTAGTCCCAGCTACTCAGGAGGCCAAGGCAGGAGAATTGCTTGAACCTGGGAGGCGGAGCTTGCAGTGAGCCGCAATCGCACTACTACACTCTAGCCTGGGCGACAGAGTGAGACTCCATTTCAAAACAAAACAAATTTATACATTCACCAATTCACAAGTTTGGAATGCAGGCATTGCTAAATTGTCATCTCGGGGCTGGGCCCTTCTCCGCTCCCACATATTAGAAGTGCTCACCCCGCAGAGACACAGTGGGCTCAGACCAGCTTGGATGTATGAAAACGTGTTTTCCACCCAAGCAGAGGGAAGAAGCAGTGTGGAAATCTCAGGGCTGAGTCTGAGTGCTCTCTGCTCAAAGGGCTTTAGCAGGTCCTGTCTCCACGTGCTTTCATACCCCACTGCTTGTTGCAGAAGAACCAGGCAACAGCCTGGCCTAGAGAAAGGCTTTGTTTTGATAGCAGTTATCATTTCTATCAAATATCCCTCTTCAATATTGCAACTCTTCCTTTATGTTCAACCTCAGGGCTTTCTCACTTGGAACTCCTGTCCTTGGAGCTTTCTACTCTAGAATGAGCTTTTGGTTCACCAAGCTCAGGGTTCCAGAATCCAGACCCCCAAATCTCAGTTGTGGAACCCAGACCTCCGGGTCTTGTGTTCTAGAAATCCCATCTAGCAGCAAAACAGACTGGGCTCCTCCTCTTCTCCTCCACGCCCCCACTCCGCCTTATTCCCAATGTCCCCACCAGAGATTACAGTGGCTTGAATGGCTGCATGGGTGCCCTGGGTGGCATCACCCTCACCCCAGCTCTGGGGTTCCCTTGGCATCTTCCTAGGGCCAGCTACCGAGGCCCTTACCTTTCATGAGGATGTCCTCTGTCAGCGGGAGGCCATAGGACTTACAGAGCTTCCAGCATTGCAGGTAGACCAGAAAGTTGTGCCTGCGGGCCGAGTCAATGAGCTCCCTCATATCCCCGTGGATGGTGGACGGGAGGCAGTGCTCATCAAAGTGCCGATTCCCACAGCGCACCAGGTGACATTGCTCCGTGTACTGGATGGAGGGGATCGTGAGCTGCGAAGGAAGCAGAAAGGGGCTCGCCCTTCTCTCGCCTGTGTCCCTCCTCCTGGCCAGAAGAAGGAAGATGCAGTGCCTCATCGACCTCTCCCCTGCGAGGTCCCCATGAGGGGTGATGGCAACCAACGTCCAGTGGGGCTGCAGTTCCGGTTCTGAAGTCAGTGAAGACTTCAGGTTCAGAAGCTCAGGTTCTGAAGTCACAGCCCTGTAGACGGGTGTGCAGGAGTGCACACATGACTGTGTAACATATATGGTAAAACACAGTACACATGCCCTAGAGGCGTCCTATTGAAAAAGGACATTCGCGGGGCCACAAGATGGCTCACACCTGTCATCCCAGCACTTCGGGAGGCCGAGGCAGGAGGATAACTTGAGCCCAGGAGTCCGAGATCAGCCTGGGCAACATGGCAAAACTCTGTCTCTACAAAAAAATTAGCTGGGCATGGTGGCGCGCGCCTGTAGTCCCAGCTTCTCAGGAGGCTGAGGTGGAATGATGGCTTGAGTCCGGGAAGTTGAGGCTGCAGTGAGCCAAGATCAAGCCACTGCACTCCAGCCTGGGCAGTAGAGTGAGACTGTCTCAAAAAAAGAAAAGAAAAGAAGAGAAGAAAAGAAAAGTGACATTTAAATTAGGAGTAGCCATCTGTGACCTTGAGGTGAAAGCCATGAGCTAAGATAGGAGGAGGCTGGCGGAGCAGGTAGCTGCTTTTGTTGGCTGCCACCACCTTGTTTTTTAACAAGGAAAAAAAAACCCTAACTTTTAAAGCTTCTAAAACCAGAATCAGCAAAGACCAGCCCATGAGCCAAATCTGGCCCACCAGCTGTTTTTATAAAGTTTTGTTGGAGCACAGCCACACTCATTTGTTAAGGTGCTGTCTGTGGCTGCTTTCCTGCTGCAACACAGAGCTGAGTAGTTGCGACAGACAAGACATGGCTCACCAGGCCTAAAATGTTTACTATCTGGCCCTTTACAGGGGAACTTTGCTGGTCCCTGCTCAAACATTTTGGGTTTTCTTGTCATGCAACTGAATCAAATCTTAGTAGATATAGCACTTAGCAATATCTGCCATTTTATTATATGTACAAATACAAATATTATAGGTATAAATACAAATATGTATTTTTAATTATATATATATTTGTGTTTATTTATTTATTTTTTTTTTTAGAGACACGGTCTCACTCTGTAGCCTGGGCTGGGGTGTACTGTGCAGTAATAGCTCACTGCAGCCTTGGCCTCCCAGGTTCAAGCCATCTTCTGGCCTCAGCCTCTTCAGTAGGTGCAGCCACAGGCACATGCCACCATGCTGGCTAATTTTTTAAAAATTTTGTGTAGAGACGGGGCCTTGCTGTGTTGCCCAGGCTGGTCTCAAACTCCTGGCCTCAAGTGATCCTCCTACTTTGGCCTCCCAAATTGCTAGGATTACAGGCATGAGCCACTGCACCTGGCCTGTATATAATTTTTTTTTTTTTTTTGAGACAAGATCTTGCTCTTTCCCCTCGGCTGGAGTCCAGTGGTGCGATCTTAGCTCACTTCAGTCTCAACCTCCTGGGCTCAGGCAGTCCTCTCACCTCAGCCTCCTGAGTAGCTGGGACCACAGGCACATGCCATCACCCCAGGCTAACTTTCTAAATTTTTTGTAGAGACAGGATCTCCCTATGTTGCCTAGGATGGCCTCGAACTCCTGGGCTTAAGCAGTCCTCCTACCTTGGCCTCTCAAAGCGCTGGGCTAACAGGTGCGAGACACCACTCCCAGACTATATTATATATGAATATTTATATGTAGTATTGTATTGATGTTGTCTGCCTCCCTTACCAGACTGTCAGCTTCCTAGGGGCAGGGACTGTTATGCTTACTATAACACCCGGAAGAGTGCCTGGCACATGGTAGGCTCTCAATAAATGTTTACTGGACAAGCTAATTCATGCAATCAATCCTTCCTTCACTTGCCATGTATTTCTGGAGAGTCTACCCAGTGTCAGGCCCTGTGCCAGGTGCCTGGATTCCAGCTGTGATGAAAATGCAGGCCTGGTCTAAGGATGAAAAGTCATAATTAAAGAATAGGGAGAGGGGGACGTGATAGTTTCAGAAACAGGATCTTACTACATTTTACAAAAACCTCAGGAGGCAGGTATTGTTCTTATTTTACAGATGAGGGACGTGAAGAAGGGGTGGTTGTAGAGGCGAAGACCCCCCTCCCCAGGGTTCTGCAGCCAGCGGGTGGTGCTGCTGCGGTGATCTGAACCCCAGCTGCTCCAGTCCCCAAGCCGCATGCTCTCCTTGGGCTGGCGAGGTACCTTGTGCTGTCGCTGCCGCTCGCGGTACCGCTTGCCCACTTCCTCCATCTCCTCCAGGGTCATGGGCCGCGTCTCCATCTGCGTGTCGACTGCAGGCACCGTCAGTAGGTCCACTTTGGGAAGCTGTGGGGCTGAATCCACCTCCTGCTTCTTGAGCGGACCCTTCAGGGAATCTCTGTGCTTGGCCAAGATATAATCTGGAGTCAGAGGGAAGAGATGAAGGAAGGAGGGACTAAGAGGGTGCCCAGCCACGGAACCTGCCAAGCAGTTATCCAGTGTCACCCAGCAGGCACCAGGCCACCCCTCCGCTCCCTTCCCACACGTCTGGGCAGTGCCCACCTAAGCCACCTAAGCTGTACCTTAGATGTGGCCCTCCTCTCCATCTCCACTAATGGCGTCCCTTACTGCACCAACCCCAGCCCTCTGGTTGCCATTCTCGTCCTGTCACCCTGTCTCACCAAGCAGCAAATAGGATCTTTAAAAAATATAGAGTATAGCCAGGCGCGGTGGCTCACGCCAGTAATCCCAGCACTTTGGGAGGCCGAGGAGGGCGGATCATGAAGTCAGGAGATCGAGACCATCCTGGCTAACACTGTGAAACCCCGTCTCTACTAAAAATACAAAAAATTAGCCGGGCATGGTGGCACGTGCCTGTAGTCCCAGCTATTCGGGAGGCTGAGGCAGAATTGCTTTAACCTGGGACCTGGAGGTTGCAGTGAGCCGAGATCGTGCCACTGCACTCCAGCCTGGGTGACACGGTGAGACTCCCTCTCAAAAACAAACAAACAAAAAATATAGAGCAGGGTACTTTGGGAGGCTGAGGCGAGTGGATCAGCTGAGGTCAGTAGTTCAAGACCAGCCTGACCAATATGGTGAAACCCCATCTCTACTAAAAATACAAAAATTAGCCGGGTGCAGTGGTGTGCACCTGTAGTAGTTACTTGGGAGGCTGAGACAGGAGAATTGCTTGAACCCGGGAGGTGGAGGTTGCAGTGAGAAGAGATCACACCACTGCACTCAAACCTGGATGGCAGAGCAAGACTCCATCCCCCCCCAAAAATATATATACACATATATAAAGCAGGGTGCAGTGGCACGCCTGTGGTTCTAGCTACTCAGGAAGCTGAAGTGGGAGGATTGCTTATGCCCAGGAATTTGAGGCTGCAGTAAGCTATGATCACACCTGTGAATAGCCACTTCACTCCAGCCTAGGCAACATAAGGAGACCCCATTGCATGAGTCTCCTTATGTTGGATATGTGTAGATGGATGGATAGATAGATAGATAGATAGATAGATAGATAGATAGATAGATAGATAGACAGACTGACCGACCGACCAGATCGCCTCATTCCCTTGGCTTCCCACAGCATTTAGACCAAAACCCAGAGTCCTCTCCCTGGGCTACAAGGCCCTGCTGTACCATCTGGCCTCAGCTGCCTTCCCACCTGGTCCATGGCATACCATTCACCCTTCACCCATTCCACCCAGCCACCCTGACCACCTTCTGTCTCTTGCAAGCTATCCTACCCCAGGGCCTTTGCCTTCACAGTTCTATCTGCCTAGATTGTGCTTCCCCCAAGACTAGTTCCTGTCAATCACTCAGATGTCAGCTCCAATGTCTGCTTCTCAGAGAGGCCGTCCCTGACCACCAGCCCTTTAGGTGCAAGCTCATCGAAAGCTGGGGCTTTGGCTGGCCCACTGCTGTGTTCCCAGTTTCTAGAAGTGGCACATAGTAGTTGCTCAACAAAGATTCCAATGAATGAAAGAATCCCATTGTCCCTGCCCTGGTTCAGACCTTCATCGTCTCAAGCTGAAATAATATCCTGACCTTACCACCTTCTATTGAGGCTGTGAACAAGTGGCTCAGCCTCTCTGAGCTCCAGCTTCCTCCTCGTAAAGCAGGAATAGCAATCCTGACCTCTGCGGACATAAAGGATAAACTGAGATCATTCTGCAAGAATGAAGAAGAGCTACTGCAAGAAGAACTACTGGAAGAAGGCACCCCTGCCAAGACGCTCAAACTCTTGCCTCTTTAGACAAAGTGAGAGACACCCGGACAGAGCAGGAGCACCGTCATCTGGGACAAACACCGCCACTTTAAGTTCCAGCTCCCTTTCTAGCCTCATGCATTTCAAGGAAATCACTTCTCTTCTAACTATAAGCAGCCAGAAAGAGCAGACAGTAAAACACAGACAAGACAGCTCAGGCACAGAGGGAGGTCGGGGGAAAGTCTCTTGGGTGACTGCCAAACTTCACCCTCATACAATGGGCCCCAGTAAAACTGTGGGCCTTAATAAGCACATTCCTTTCCCTTCAGGTGCACTAAGATAGGGAAGCTAAAAGCAGACTTGGGGGATATGCCTGCAGCTGCAGAAAGATGTATGGAAACAGACACGCAACTCTGCCTCCCAGATAAACACAACAAAGAGACAGAGAAGCAGTCCAAGCCTCTGATAAACTCTTCCACTGTGAATCCTTAAAAACTCTTAGTCTGTAAGAGAATGTGGCTCTGACCTAACTCAGCCAGCAGCCCCTCTCAGGTTTGTTTTCTCTAAAATAAACCTGTCTTTGACTATTGAGCCACCTTTCCTGTTTCTTTCCTCTTTCTTTAATTCTTACACACCCCAGTCTACCTATCTTACCCACTATTGCTCACCAGGGAAAAAGAACTCAGTGATGACGCCAAAGTAGCACCATGAGAGCAAAGGTCTGCTGCTTGGCTTTGTGTTTACTTACTGGGAAATAACAGGACCCAAAATATCTCTGCTGCGAATATGCATCACAGCACACTGTGGTCATTGAAATGACTCACAGCCAGCTACACAGATAATGATAAGCTTGGTAATTTATAACAAAAAGGCACAAAGAGTATCAGAGGGAAAGCAGCCCAACTTGAGGTGACCTTAAAAATGTGCTGGACATAAAGGAGATTACTACTGTTGGGGTGGTGACACATGCAGGAGCGACTGTTGGGGTGCTGAGCTTCCCTGAGCTCTGAGAGAGGCAGAGACCCTGCTTGGGAGGTGATAGTTTCTCTGCAGGGCAGCTGGTTGAGACTGGACATTGAAAATCTCCTGGAGGACTGAGGAATGGATGCTCTGAGCTGCCTGCTGTCCCCAAATGAGCCACTCCAGTGAGGATGCTGAGTAACTCCTCTTGGTGTGACTGTAAACTCCAACGGCCTCACCCCAGATCTTTACCATTGTTAGGAAACCCCTCCACTGCCTCCTCCAGGGCTCCTGTGTGACTCAGGGAGGACAAGGAAGCCCCAAACATGCATGAGATTAAGTTCCTGCCAACCTGGTAGATGGGAACAGAGCAAGATTTGTTTCATTTAGAAAAACAAAGCTGTGGCTATGTTTGGGAAGGGTGCTAGAATGGGTGGGTGGTTGTAATGGTTCTTTTTTGTTTGTTTGTTTACTACAAGAATGGTACTAAGATATAAAGAAATATTATACAATGCACCTTTGTGTTGTAGAGTAAATTCACAGCCAGAGCTTTAGCAAGTCCATTTCTAATTTGCCTCTGTGCCTTGTCTGGACAGATGTGGCCCCACAAATGTATTGCTTGGCAGATGGAACTTGAGCCATGTACAACCTTTACAACTGTTGACAGCAACCCTGCCATAATACCCCTGATAGCAGAATACCAAAATACACTTTCCAGTAAACTGTAAACATGTGCTAATTCTGGTTCTGAACAAGAATTTTATCAATAAGCTATGGATTAATAGTGAGGAGGCCTTGGACCCACACACACATAAATGTCTCTGGAAAGGCTTGCCATTTGGGTCAGTTCTCAGCCTCTCAGGTGGGCTCTGGTGGGCTGAGTATCCTCCTCTAAGAACAAGGGCTGGGACTCATTTGTCTTTGAATGGACACAGTGGTAGCTGGGCACTCAAGGGAATATCTACTCCTTAGTTAATCTCTGGGCCTGAAAATTTCCAGAGGCTTGGCCAAACCACAGTCGGCCAAAACTGGGGAACACACTGAGGAAGTGAGTTTGGAGGAGAGGCCAAGGCTGCCTGCACCATGCTTGCTCCCAGGACGGGGAGGTGGAGGCACAGGATGGGGAGGGGTACGCACGCTCCCTTGCAGTGGCCAGGCTGCTCCTTTGCTGAGCCATAGACCACTGCTTGTAGGTATTGGCCAGGATATCCATGGTGATGGTGTTGTGCTTCCCAAGAGAGCTGAGGTAGATCACTATATCCTCCACCTCTTGGTTCTTCAGAGGGACTCCGACCTGAGGAGAGAGAAGACCTTCAGACTAGCAGGCTCCCATCCAAACATCCTGCTCTGATGGCCAAGGCCTTACCAGCCTCCTCAGACCCCCATCCTGCTTCCAGTTTCATCCTCAACCACTCCCTACTATACCCAAGGTCCCTGCTGCAGCTCAGAGCCCTTTCCCGGTCCTTGAATGAACTCTGCACTTTGTTACCTTTGCCTTTGCTCAGGCAGTTCCCCTTCTCTGCCTGAAAAACTCCTATCCCTCCTTCAAAGTCCAGTCCAGATGTCACCATCTTTATAGAGTGGGTTTCTTCTTCCTCTAGGGTCCCACCCCACTTCCTACCAGTCTCAATGGCAGCATCTACCATGCTGGATACGAAGCATGATTTCACATGTGGATCATCCCTATACACAAGTAACACATAAATCTCCCTTAATTCCTGGAAAATGGGATCAAGAATACTATACTCCTCATTCTTTTAAGGACGATGAGCAACTCTGGAGGTGTATAATGCTTGCCAGCAACATTGGATATTCAAGAAGAAAAGTTTTAAAGGAAATATGATTTTGTTCTTCAGTTTCTTTAGACAATAGTCATTGTTCACTGAACTTTACTCAAACTCCTGGCCTCAAGTGATCCGCCTGGTTCGGCCTCCCAAAGTGCTGGGTAAACAGACATGAGCCACTGTGCCTAGCCTTGATCAGAACTAACTTGATCAGAGCTAAGTAAGATCAGAACTCTCCTGGTGCTGGCTGGACGTTGTGCCTCACGTTTGTAAACCCAGCACTTTAGGAGGCCCAGGTGGGTGGAATGCCTGAGGCCAGGAGTTCGAGACCAGACTGGCCAGCATGGTGAAGCCCCATCTCTACTAAAAACACAAAATTAGCCAGGCATGGGGACACATGCCTGTAATCCCAGCACCCAGGAGGCTGAGGCAGGAGAATCCCTTGAACCAGGGAGAGGGAGGTTGCAGTGACCCAAGACTGTGCCATTGCACTGCAGCCTGGGTGACAAGAACGAAGCTCCGTCTCAAAACAAACAAACAAACAAACAAACAAACAAAAAAATGAACTCTCCTGGTGCTAAAGAATGTAATATTTAAACTTTTGGTTATGGAGATTAAAGACTATTATCTTTAAATGCTTTGAAATGTTGTTGAGATAATTACATGTCATAAAACATGTGTGAGAAAACTGATAATAATTTAAAACCACGAAAGACATCACAGTCAACTCCCTAAAGTTGTTTAAGGTATTTGTTGTCGTTGTTTGGGTTTCTTTTAAGTTGAGATCTTGCTCTGTCACCCAGGCTGGAGTGTAGTGGTGTGATCATAGCTCACTGCAGCCTCTAACTCCCGGGCTCAAGTGATCCTCCCATCTGACCCTCCCATGTAGCTGGGACGACAGGTGTGTACCACCACACTGGGATAAGTTTTTTAATTTTTTGTAGAGATGGGGGTCTCACTGTGTTACCCAGGCTGATCTCAAGCTCTTGGCCTCAAGCAGTCTTCTCACTTTGGCCTTCCAAAGTGTTGGGGGATTACAGGCATGAGCCAGCATGCTAGGGTAAAGTATCTTGCATTCAAAATGTATAAAAACGTAATTCATCTAGACTAGGGTTAGCAAGTTAGCAAGCTTTTTCTATAAAAAGTCAGATAAGGCCAGGCGCAGTGGCTCATGCCTGTAATCCCAGCACTTTGGGAGGCTGAGGCAGGTGGATCACAAGGTCAAGAGATCAAGACCATCCTGGCCAACATGGTGAAACCCCTTCTCTACTAAAAATACAAAAATTAGCCGGGCGTGGTGGTGCACGCCTATAGTCCCAACTACTCGGGAGTCTGAGGCAGGAAAATTGCTTGAACCTGGGAGGCGGAGGTTGCAGTGAGCCAAGATCGCACCACCGCACTCCAGCCTGGTGACAGAGTGAGACTCTGCCTCAAAAAAAAAAAAAAAACCAAAAAAAAAAAACCCAAAACCAAAAAAAAAAAAAACTAAAAACAAAAAACCTCAGATAGTAAATATTTTAGGTTTGGCTAGCCATATGGTCTGTGTCATACTGCTCAACTCTGCCATTGTAGCATGAAAGCAGCCATAGACAATTCAAGGATGAATGAGTGTGGCTGTGTTCCAATAAAACTCTATTTAAAAAACAGGAAGCAGGCTGGACTTGTCTCTTGAGCCACAGTTTGCAGACCTCTGCTAGGCCGATACAACTTTCCATGATGATGGAAATGTTCCACATCTGTGCAGTCCAGTAGAGGAGCTACTTGCCACATGTGACTACTGAGCACTCAAAATATGTGGCTGGTGTGATTGAAAGACTGGATTTTTAAATTTATAATTGATTTAAATTAATAAATAGCCAGTGAAAGTAAAAGTGTGGTCCATAGACCAGTACTACAGGCATCACCAGGAGCTCGTTAGAAATACAGCATCTTTTGATGACCCACAGATGTGCTGGGTCAGAAGCTGCATTTCGACAGGACACCCATGTAACTTATATGCCAGTGACAGTTGGAGACACTCTACCAGCTTTCTCTGATCTTAGTTTTGGGGTCTGCTGTGCAAGACAGGGATTCTCCAAGGTAGCTGGCTGGTTATGAGGTGGACTCCACAGACTTTCCACTCAGGTGGGGGTTTTCAAGGTCAGACTGGTGCGGGGCAGATATTGAGGATCTGATTTGGCCACAAGTTAATCCATATTTTCTAGCCTTAATAAGTAATAAGGCTGACAGTTTGCACTCCTTGTGTCTACTTCTCAGTTGAACCAGAACCCAGCATGGCGGGGGAGGGGCGGGGGTGGCAAAGAGGGAGTACATGTACATCCTGCCCACTTAGGCCCATCCAGAGAAAGCAGGTGGCACTTACTGCCTTTACAGCCGCGATGAACTCCTCCCTGGTGATTCTCTGGTTCTCACCCTGGCCCACCTTGTGAAATATCTCCAGGATCTTGATCTTGCGGCTATGCAGGTAGGAGTACATGACCGACAGGGCAGGGGGCTCGGGCAGCTGGAGCTGGGGCACCATCTGGCGGGACAGCCGGGAGAGCCTGGGGGCTTTCTTCTGGAAGAGGTGAGAGGGTAGGGCAGAGGAGAGAGTTCAAAGGAGACAGGCCAGGCGGATGCAGTCCCCAGAGTTAGGGACTAAGGAGAGGACGAGCAGCTCTAAATAGCAGGATAGAGTACAAAGGGCACTGGGTTCAGGGCAACTGTGTTTGGCCACAAAATGCCTGGGAGACTTTGCTTCTCTGAGCCTTGGTTTTCTCATCTGAAAAACACAAGGCTTGGGCAATATAGGAACTAAAATTTCATTCTTATCCACATCTCTCCTGTCAAACCAGTCAGTATGCGTAATCCCACTGGTCTGGTCTCTCAGTGCACCAAAACCTATACCCTTCCCTGGAGCCAGGTGGAGACTCCCCATCCCCGCCCCCAGCCTTTGCATCTGCTATAGGCCTCCTGCCTGGAAGACTTTTCTCTCTTTCTCTATCTGTCCAAATCCTCCTTCTCCAATTCCAAGTGAAAGGGCATATTTTGTAATGGATGATAATCTTCTACCTTGGTGCAGCACTGGGCAGTTTACAAAGGGCCTTCCCATTCCCTAGGGTATTGTTCCTCTGTGCTCCTCCCAGGGTGCTTATTATAATAGAGACCCACCTCTATTAATGGCCTGTAGCAAACTGTAGAGCCATTAATCCTATGTGTCTGCCTCTCCCACTAACATGTGAACACCTTGTGCTATGGCTTAATGTTTGTCCCCTCCAAAATACATGTTTAAACTGAACATGACTTTTGTTAAGCCACTTGGCACATGTGACTATTGAGCACTCAAAATGTGGCTGGTGTGATTGAAGGACTCCATTTTTAAATTTATAATTAATTTACATTATTAAATAGCTAGCAAAAGTAAAAGTGTGGTCCCGTGGACCACTACCACAGGCATCACCAGGAGTTCGTTGGAAATGCAGCATCTTTTGATGATCCACAGATGGGCTGGGTCAGAAGCAACTTAATACTGTTATCAACATAATGGTATTAACAGGTGGGGCCTTTAAGAGGTGATTGGGTCATGAGGTGTCTGCTCTTATGAATCCATTAATTCATTTATGGATTAATGGATTAATGGGCTAAGGATTAATTGGTTATCATGGAAGAGGGCTCGTTATCATGAATGGGATCAGCTAGAAAAGCCAGTTTGGCTCCCTCTCGTGCACCCCCTCACCCTGAGATGCCTTCCACTGTGTTAGGATGCAGCACGAGGCCCTCCCTAGAGGCCAACCAGTCAAGCCTTCAGATGACTGTGGCCCAGGCCAACATCCTGACTGCAACCTCATGAGGACTTTCAGCCTCCAGGACTGTGAGCCAAAAAAAACTCTCTTTTCTTTATAAATTACCCAGCATCATGTCTTCTGTGACAGCAAGAGAGGCCAGGCTAAGACACCCTGGAAGTAAGACCGTGTCTTATTTACAGTGTATCCCCATCTCCCACCTTTATACTGAACAAAGCCCAGGCCGTAGGAAGACAGGCAGTAATTGTTTGCTGAAGGAATAAATGATCCTATGAATTAGGTATGAGGTACTACCTAATTCACAATAAGGAATCAGGCTCAGAGATGTGAAAGGTTTTCCCAATGCCACACAGCAGGTAAGCAGTACAGCTGCATTTCTAACCCAAGTCTAGTTCTTATTCTTAGACACTATGCTGCTGGCAGAAGAGGGTGTGTTAGACCCATGAAATTAGGATTTGGGCTATAATAACAGCAAGGACTGACCCTGAAGTTTCCGGGCCAACCAACCCAATGGACACTTGTGAGATTACAATAATAATACAGATGGAAATCATGTTTGAGTGCTCACTATGTGCCCAATAGCGTCCTAGGCACCTTATATAAATGAATGCATTTAGACATCATAGCGACCCCAGGAGGTAGGAACAATGGTTGTCTCCATTTTATAGATGAGAAAACTGAGACCCAAATGGTACAGCTAGGAAGTAGCAGAGCTATGTTTAAACCCAACTTATCTGTCTTCTTATCCCAAGGAAATGTCACAGAGAGAGAATGAGTTGGTAGTACCCTTATCACTTACTATCACTATATGTTTGGATAAATGTTGGCCTCACTGAGCTTCTATTTCCACATTTGTAAAAGGGGGATCCTCCTTTTCCTCCCAACCTCACAATCGTCATCCTCACAATAGCTTGCTACATGGAACCCTCAGCAAACTTGTGTCAATGAACAAATGAATGAACAATGGGTATTTTAAATACCCCATAAGATGGACTGCCAGGATGATCCCTTTTGGGGTGATTTTAAGGTATGTCCACAAACTCTTCTGCTTCCCTCCTTTCTAAGATGGAGTCTTCTTTCCTTCTTGAGCATGGGTAGTACTCAGGGACTCACTTCTGACAAAGAGAATGTGGTGGAAGTGATAGTGTGGAACTTCTGAAACTGAGGCCTTCAGAAGCTAGGTCTGAAAGGGCAGCCTCTGTCTTGCTCTCTTTTTTGGACCCTTCACTCTGGGGGATGCCAGCAGACATACTGTGAGGACACTTAAGCAGCCCTATGGAGAGGTCCATGTGGGGAGGAACTGAGGCCTCCTGCCAATAGCCACATGGGTGAGCCAGCTTGGAAGCAGATCCTTTTGCCCCAGTCAAGCCTTCAGATGACTGTGGCCCAGGCCAACATCCTGACTGCAACCTCATGAGAGACTCTGAGCCAGAGCGACCCAGCAAAGCTACTCCCTGATTTCTGACTCTAGAAACGGTGTGTGATCATAAATATTTGTTGCTTTCAGTCATTTGGGGGTGTTTGTTATGCAGCAATAGATAACTAGACAACTAATACACCTCCCTCTCAAGACTTCTGTTTGCTCCTCTGTGAAATGGTGTGAACTATCCCTATCCAGCCTAACCCAAGGGAATAAAATAATGATGCATCCCTAAACCCTTGGTGTCTTCATCTGGCAAATGGGGCTGCTCACCCTGGTGGTCCTGGTAGTTGCCTGGGAGGCATTTGGCTGGGCACTCTGCTCCTCGTGGATCATGTGTAAGACCTTGGCCTCTGAAGGCGTGATGCTGGGCTTGTTCTCCAGCCACCTCTTTACATCACCAAAGGACTCTAGCTCCTGCCGCAGCTTCGACCTCTGGCTCAGCCAGGTCTTCCTGTCCTCTGGCTGCTCTTGGATATCTCTAGCTTCCAGAACTTTGAAGCTGGGGATGGGCTTTGGGGGAGCCTGAGGTTGGGATGCAGGATTAAGGGGTGTCTGATCCTCCTTGCGAGGCACCATGATGATTCGCCGGCGGGTCTGAGGCAGGCGGAAGTCCTTCTGCTGGAACTGCTTGAAGCAGTGGGCAATGACCGGTTCAGGATCAAAGACGGGAGCATTTTCATTGATGGGAGTCTTAGACGGGCAGAGTCCTTGGGGTAAGAGAGTTAAAAGATGAGTTTCTCTCTGGAAGAGGACTGAAAGGAGCCAGGAAGGAAAAACACTTTTGCTCCAGGCTGGGCAACAGGGCCCTGGATCCCAGGCCAGGCTTTATCATTGTCTTGCTGTAATCGTAAGGATAATTTCATCTAATGTTACCGGGTGCTCCCAACAGCAGGCAGCAAGCTAAGGGCTCTATATGCTTTCTCTTATTTCATCTTCTCCATACCCAGCCCCCAACACCTCCCATTGGCAATCAGAATGAACTTTTAAAGATGCCAGTCTGATCTTGTGTGATCATCTGAGGCAGCACAGTATTAAGAGCAGAGGCTTTGGGGCCAGAACGTTCTTCGGTCTGAGTCCTGGCCCTGCCACCTACTGGCTGCATGATCTTGAGCAAACCACCTAACTTCTCTGTCTCAACCTCCTCATTGGTAAAATGGGCATAATGATGGTAACCTATTTTATCGGATGGGAGTGATGTTAAAATCAGTCAATTTATTAGAGTTGCTTTGTACATAATATATCTGCTATTATTGGTATATACTCACCATGCACTCATTTTGAAGCCCTTCCATGACTTTTGATAACCTTAAAATGAAGTCCCGGGCCCCTCTTCTGTCAACCTGTCCCCCTAATCCCTTGCTTCTCTTCCCTTACTATGTCCTGGATGCCTGGGCTTCTCTCTGTTTGCTGAGTGGTCCAAGCCTCATCCTGACTAGGGGTTGGCACGTGCTCCTCCCTCTAGCAGGAGTGCTCCCTCCCCATCCACACCCTGGGCACTCTTCCTTATCCTCCAGGTCCCATCTTTGCATCACAACCTGCACTTTCCTTCAGACCACTTATCACGACTGGGTACAACAAGGGCTGAAAACTGGTGGCCCTCATGCTGAATGAGGGCTGAGGTCTTGTTTTGTTTGACAACTTGCTTGATATTTTTCAATCTGAGCTACTTTGGGCTGAGGCATTGCCCTCTCCAGCTTGCCACAGGCTCCCCCATTCCTTTTTGTCTCACAGGCAGCTCATTTTCTTTATTAAGTCCTCGGTTTGGGCAGCAATTTGCCTTTGAGACCCCTGGTGCAATTATTTGGTTCATGTTTATTTTTTCTAGTAGACTATGAGCTCCATGAAGACTGTAACCCTATCTCTCTTGTTCCTGACTGGAGCCCTGACACCTCCACAGTGTCTACATATAATGGGAACTCAGTAAATATTTGGTGAGTGAAAAATGGACAGACCTATGATGCTGGTACTATGATTATGCCCATTTTGCAGATAAGGACATTGAGGCCTAGAGAGGCCCAAGGTCACTCAGTTGATTAGTAGCAGAGCTGAGACATGAACTTCAGTTTGTCTGGCCCCAGAGCTCGGCTCTTAGCTGTTACTTGATATTACCCAGGGCTGTCACCCAATCCTGCTGAGTCTCAAGTATTTTACTTCTGAAATGATATAAACTCTGCTCTATCTACCTCTTGAAGTTGTTATGAAGATCAAATGAGATAACAGTTTGGAAGTGTTCTAAAAAATCAGAAGGGGCCAGGCATGGTAGCTTATGCCTGTAATCCAAGCACTTTGGGAGGCTGAGGTGGGAGGATTGCTTGAGCCCAGGAGTTCAAGGCCAGCCTGGGCAAAATAGTGAGACCTCATCTATACAAAAAAATTTAAAAACTAGCCGGGCATGGTGGTGCACGCCTGTAGTCGCAGCTCCTCAGGAGGCTGAGGTGGGAGGATCACTTGAGCCTGGGAGGTCAAGGCTACAGTGAGCTGAGATTACCCGCATTGTAATCCAGCCTGGGCAACAGAGACCCTTTTTCAAAAAAATTTAAAAAAATCAGAAGGGATATAACAATCTTATTGGAAATACTGTCACTGTCATTTTCCTCCTAAAACCCAAACTCCCTTGCTTAAAACCTGTCCATGGCTCCTAACTGCCTCTAGAGTAAAGTTCAAGCTCCTTAACCTGGCCCCACCTGGTCCTCTCACCCCTACCAGCCTCTCCGATTTCTCTGGCTCCTTCTGCCTTCCCTTACGTTTGTATCCAAACAGATCTGCCCCACCAACACACACAAGCCATGCTGTTTCCTCCCTGTGACATGCTCTTCTCCCTCCCTGCTTCACTTCTTGATCCCTGACTCACCCTTTGAGACTCAGCTCAGGCATCCCGGCCCCTTGAAGCCCTCCCACTCCCCTTCTCATGGGCCCTCTGGGTCCCATAGCCCCCACACTTAGTCCCATCATAAGCATTTACCATATTTTTCTGAAATGAAGATACTTTCTGCATCTTTCTTTCCCAACAGCCTGTGAGTTTCCCAGTGACCAGGACTGTGTCTTAGTTCCCCTGTGTCCTCGGTGCCCAGCCTGGCCCAAAGTGGACATTCAGTACATTTGTTAAGTCTCTTTACAAGGCCCATGTGTTCCTTTCAGAGTCAGCAAATAAGAAAAGTAAACATCATGGTATGGTTTGCATCTGTGTCCTTGCCCAAATCTCATGTTAAATTATAATCCCCATTGTTGGAGGAGGGGTCTAGTGGGAGGTGATTGGATCATGGGAGAGGACGTCCCCCTTGCTGTTCTCATGAGAGCGAGTGCTCACAAGATCTGGTTGTTCAAAAGCATAGCACCTCCCCCTGCTCTCACTTCCTCCTTCTTGGGTTATGTAAGATGTGCCTGTCTTTGCCTTCTGCCATGATTGTAAGTTTCCTGAGGCCTCCCCAGCCATGTTTCCTGTACAGCCTGAGGAACTGTGAGTCAATTAAACCTCATCTCTTTATAAATTACCTAGTCTCAGGTAGTTCTTTATAGCAATGCTAGAACAGATATTACACATCAATAGGGATGGAAGCGAACACTTCTAAACAACACATGTATCATTACTTTGACCACAAGAAAGTTCATTCCCAGCAGGGGATGACTGAGAATGTAGTCATTCATCAAATCAGTATTTATTGAGAATCCCCCAGGGCTTGGTGCTGAACCAGGTGCAGATTAAACTAGGCTGGGCACCTACCGTGGTTCACCTGTTCTCAGTCCACCCAATGGAACAAGGTGGGGCACCCAGAGGGTAACAAGATGTTCTCAGTTGGGGGAGAAATGCTGACTGTGGGACCTGGGAGGGCATCAAGGAAGAGGTGTCTTTGATGTGGACCTTCAAGAATGGTCTGGCTTCATGGGGTGGAGGGGCAGGGATGGGGAAAGGTCAGGAGTGGGATTTGGGGATTTTAGGGTCACCAGACAGTTCCACATGTTGGAAGCCCACTGTGTGTAAAGGAGGAGGTTAGTGGGAAATAAGGTTGGCGTCATCTCAAATGCCAGGCTAAGAGATTGAAACTTTACCCTGCAGGCCACGGGAACACAAAACCTGCTCCCCACAGGTCTTGCTGCTCCCATTTGGGTCCTCCCTAGACCCCCAATCCATGTTCTGCCCTCAGCCAGGAGAGCCTTACAAATGTAAATTCACAGTCTGTCCCTTCCCCATTTGAAACCATTCAATGGATTCTTAGTGCTCTTTGAATAAATACCCGCCTCCTTCTGTGGCCTACAAAGCTGCCTTCACTGGCCCTGCTCCCCACTCTTCCCTTGTCACCTCCCAGCCCCCGCCCCCTCACTCATGTGGTCCCAGCTGCTGTCCTCCTTTCTGTTGTCTGAGGTGCCTTGTTCCTTCCTGGCTCTGGGTTTTCAGTTTTTGCATTTGCTGTGCCCTCTGAAGAGCACTGCATTCCCCAGGGCTTCCCCTGGCCGAGTCATTCTCCTCACAGTTCTAAACCTGCACCAGCCCCTGACCCCACTTTCCAAGGGTGCCTGCCCACCAAACCTCCTCAGGGAGCTTCATTCTAGTGCTCTTTGGAGTCCTGTGTCCATTGACAGAAAGGGAAATGGGCTCTTATAATAAAAGAGGCTGTCATTGTGTAGTTATGGGTAGAGACTATGTGACAATGTTCCTAGGAAATTGGCAAGGAAAGCTCTCAGACGCCAGCTAGTTCAATCACCTGCCCAGGTCAGGGACACTCTCCTCAATGCCACTGGCAGACTTTGCCTCTGTTTATACATCTCCTGTGACGTGGAACTTTCTACTTAACATGGTGGACACTAAACTCTGACTGCTAGAAAATATTTCCTTATATTGACCCAGAATTTGTTTCCCTGGACTTTCTACCCTTTGGTTCTAGTCCTCCCCATGGATGTCCCAGAAAACACACTTGTTCTCTCTTTTCTCAGACAGCCTATAGGTGTCTGGAAACAATTCTACTCTTTCTTGAAATTCTCCCTGCTCTTGGCTTGATTCAATCTCTTGCTATGTCCAATTCTACCTCTCCGGCTATTGTTTTTGGGCCCCTCTTTTCCTGATTACTCCTTAAAGGTTGTTGCTTCCAGGCTTATACCCAGGGTCTCTTCTCTTTTTAAATAATCCCTTCCATTCTCATGTTTCTATGACCTTCTGTATGCTGGGGACATCCATACCAATATTTTTGACTTGGAATTAGCTCCAAGTTTATACCTCCAGTTGTTCCTAAAACATCTCCACTTGGATGGCTTACAGGGTTTTTTTTTGTTTTTTTTTTTTTTTTTTTTTTTGAGACGGACTCTTGCTCTGTTTCCCAGGCTAAAGTGCAGTGGCACGATCTCGGCTCTCTGCAAGCTCTGCCTCCCGGGTTCACGCCATTCTCCTGCCTCAGCCTCCCGAGTACCTGGGACTACAGGTGTCTGCCACCACGACCGGCTAATTTTTTGTATTTTTAGTAGAGATGGGGTTTCACTGTGTTAGCCAGGATGGTCTCGATCTCCTGACCTGGTGATCCGCCCACCTCAGCCTCCCAAAGTGCTAGGATTACAGGCGTGAGCCACGGCGCCCGGCCGGGGATCTTTTTTTATTATTTATTTTTAATTGAGACAGGGTCTTGCTCTGTTCCCCAAGCTGGAGTACAGTGGCTCAATCATAGCTCACTGCAGCCTTGAACTCCTGGGCTCAAATGATCCTCCCAGCTCAGCCTCCTGAGTAGCTGGGACTACAGGTGCATGCCATTAAGCCTAGCTAACCTTTTTTTTTTTTTTTTTTTTGAGATGGTGTCTTGCTCTGTCACCCAGGCTGGAGTGCAATGGCATGATCTTGGCTCACTGCAAGCTCCACCTCCCTGGTTCATGCCATTCTCCTGCCTCAGCCTCCTGAGTAGCTGTGACTACAGGCGCCTGCCACCATGCCCGGCTAATTTTTTGTATTTTTAGTAGAGACGGGGTTTCATTGTGTTAGCCAGGATGGTCTTGATCTCCTGACCTCGTGATCCACCCACCTCAGCCTCCTAAAGTGCTGGGATTACAGGCGTGAGCCACCCCACCAGGCCTGGCTAACTTTAAAAAACAATTTTGTAGAGATGGGATCTCACTATGTTGCCCAGGCTATTCTCAAACTCCTGGGCTCAAGCAATCCTCCTGCCTCAGCTTCCCATAGTGCTGGGATTACAGGCGTGAGATACTGTGCCCAGCTACTGACAAGGATCTTAAACTCAACCAACCAAGACTGGATTTGTCTTTGTGCCCCTTCCCCCACTAACTGGGTCCTCTGAGTACGTTCTCTTATCTCTGTGGAAGACATCTCCATCTACCAGGTCCCCCAGCTGCCAACTTGAGAACCATCTTTATTTGCCTCTTCTGTGTTTCCTGACCAACCAGCCCCCAAGTCCCGTAGTTCCCTCTAGCCTGGGCCTTCTCCCTCACCTCCCAGCATCTTTAGCTTGGGCATTTGACCAGAGCCCTGACCTGTGTGCCTGGGAAAGGTGGCCAGCCTCTCCAGCTCTCCCTGTTTCTCCACTGGGCATTAATGTGTTCAGTGCTGGAGAAGCGGCATGGAGAAGACCTTCAGTCTTCAAGCTTTATAGCCCCCAGCTCTCATCTCCCCACACCAACATTCTGAGTCTGCCAACTCAGTCTCAGGTCTTTTCTGACTGCTCCCAATCCAGTCCTGCCACTCCCAGTGGCCTCTCCATCTCCTGGCTTGCAGTATCTTTTATGATCTTGTCCCTTCTGACCTCTCTCACCTCATTTCCAGAGACACCAGACCTCTTGGGTCATGCTGTTTCCTTGCCCGAAATGCTTTTCCTTCCCCTTTTGGCTTGGAGAACTCCTTTTTATCCTTTAAGCTCCAGTGTAAAGATCTTTTCCAAAAGCTTGGAACTGTTCCTCCCCATCCCATACCCTCAGCACACCTTTTACTCCTGGGTGTCATCCCTGGGCCCGGCATTTACCCCTTCTTATTCTGTAATTATCCATTTATCTCTGTCCTTTACCCGTGAAGCTGCATTGCTTTGCCAAGAACTTGGTCCCCAGCACATTACTGCCAAAACCTTGAAGACTGACGTCTTCTCCATGCCTCTCCTCCAGTACTGAATACATTAATGTCCTGCAGAGAAACAGGGCGAGCTGGAGGGCTCCCGTCACATGGGTCGGGCCTCTGGTTCCTCCAACTAGGCTCAGATAGAAATCTCAGAAATGTACATGACCTGCCCCCGACTCCATGGCAACCCTTCACCCAGAGGGGGTCGGCACAATATCTGTGGCTGAGTTTTTGCCCTCACCCCACTTTCACGCGTCCTTAGGGCGCTGAGCGCTCCCTGCAGACGCTTCTTCCCGGGGCTTACCGAGCAGCGACAAGAACAGACTGTGGTACGCTTCATAGTCGTCGTCCATGGTCGTGGTGCTGGGAGGGGGTGCTGAAGGGCGTGTGTGAATGTGTGTCGATGTGGGCTTGCTTGCGTAGGGGTACCGGGGTATCAGATAAACCGTAACTCCAAGTCGTGCGAAAGGCGCTCAGCTCAGACTGCAGAAGCAACCTGTTGCCGTGGCTACGGACGCCCCGCGCCAATTGGCTGAGCGCTGTCACGTGTTAAGAGCGAGCCCGCCCTGCCGAGCGCCTGCTGGCCCCACCTCGTTTTCGTCCAATTCTGGGAGGGGCAGCGAGCAAATCCACGCCCCGCCCAGTTCTGGGCTTGGTGAAAGGCGGGATTTCTTTGTTCGGCCCAGTAGTCCCTGAATCCAGTGTAGAAAGTCTCCGGTTTTCCCGTGAAATGTGGGATCTTCCGCAGGTCTCCATATCTCTAGGCCTCAGTTTTCTCATAGGAAAAATAGGCCCTGCCTCCTCCAGAGGGTTAGGAAGAACCAAAGTGAGCTGTGGCCAGATAGAGGTGTTGGGTATGTTCTGCCCCGCTTATGGCAGGGTGCCATGGTTTGGAGTTACAGAACCTGAGGACCAGAGAATAATAATAAACCCTTGAAATGTGCATCAACTGATAAGCAAAATGAGGTATATCCATAGGATGGCCATAAGAAGGAATGAAGTACATGCTACAATATGGATAAACCTTCAAAACAGTATGCTAAGCAAGAAGCTAGACACAAAAGGCCACGTGCTGTATGATTCCATTTATGTGAAATGTTCAGCATAGACGAACCCACAGACACGGAAAGTAGATGAATGGTTGCTAGGGGATGGGGTGAGTAATTGAAGTGACTGCTAACAGGTGGAGAGATTCTTTTTGGAGTGGAAAAAAGAAATGGAAACTTCTGGAATTAGTGATGATGGCTGCACACTGTAAATGTACTAAACCACTGAACTGTACACTTTAAAATGGTTAAATGGTGGCTTTTAGCTCAATTTTTAAAAAGTTAAAGAGAAACACCTAAGCCCTTATTCCTTTGCTGAGACAAGCTATCTTTGTGACGCTTGCAAACAGATTGTTGCCATGGGCCACATTCACACAGCACTCTTGCAAGCCAGGTACCATTTTAGCACTACATGTCTGAACTTCATAATTACCATCATTGTGTGAGGTAGACACCACTATCCCATTTTTAAAAGACAAGTTAACAGGTACAGAGGTCAGGCAACCTCACCTGCAAGAAACAGGAAAAGCCAGGCCTAGAGCCTGAGCAACCTGGCTGTGTCCTGAGCTCCCCTGGTGCAGAGCTCGCCTCCTGCATTCACACGGGCCCACACTCCCCATGGAGATGCTGGGGGAAGGTATGTGACCACCAGCCCTACCACAAAGCCACACCTGATGCCCTGAGCTTGGTGAGCTCGCCCCACCCTCCAGGCCCAGCTGGGCCCAAGGTTTCAGAGGCCCCTCTCCACCCTCTTTGGGTGTCTTGTCCCTACTCCTTACCGCTTTTGTTCCCTTCCATTATTAGGTGCCCTTCTTTCTCTCTGTGAGGGTCTGTACAGAACTTGTTTATCTTTGTGCCCCTCCCCACCACAGGGCTTTACACTTTGTGAATGCTACTTGGATGTTTGTTAAATGAAAATGTGATGGTAAACTATAAAGTGGGTTTGCCTTGGGGAGAGGGAGGTGTGGCCAGTTTTCCTGTTCTCTGGTCAAAATCTATCCTTCTAAAAACTGACACTCACTAAAGTGGAAACAACCAACTACCTCTGCATCACACTGCAGCCTGATTCGGTTCACACTGCCCTACAACAAAGGCAGTTTCCTGAACAACTGATTTATTTTTCATTTATTCAATCAATTTAATTTTCAAATTATACCTTAAAATGGTAGTTGGTAATTAAGACATAGTAACTAGTTTTTTCCCTTGGTTTCTTTCTAATAGTAAATGCTTTGGTATTTGAACTGTAACAATACTTGTAATAAAAATGGCATTAAGACTTATTTTTTTTAAGACAGGGTCTTGCTGTGTCATCCAGGCTGAAGTGCAGTGGTGTGATCATAGCTCACTGCAGCCTCAATCTCCTGGGCTCAAGGGATTCTCCCACCTCAGCCTTCTGAGTAGCTGGGACCACAAGTGTATGTCACCATGCCCAATTAATTTTTAAAATTTTTTGTAGAGACGGGGTCTCATTATGTTGCCCAGTCTGGTTTTGAACTCCTGGGCTCAAGCAATCCTCCTGCCTCAGCCTCCCAAAGTGCTAGGATTACAGGTGTAAGCCACTGTGCCTGGCCAAATGGTATAAACTCCAAATGGAAGATGAGAAATGAGTTTTCACAAAGGGACCAAGGTAAAAGAGTGAGTGAGCTGAAATGGAGCAGCAGGCCCATATTCACATTAGGTTATCAAATGGATACTGGGGTGGAATCTACAATTCCTAAGAGCTAGTGTGGAGCTGTCAACAATACACAATGCCAGAGGAATCTTATTTGTCTTTGGGGTCAGCTTTTATTTTTATTTTTTAAATATATATTTTTTGAGACAGGGTCTCTCTCTGTCATCCAGACTGGAGTGCAGTGGCATGATCATGGCTCACTGAAGCCTTGACCTCCTGGGCCCTCATGAGCTCAAATGATCCTCCTGCCTCAGCCTTCCGAGATTACAGGCATGCACCACCACGCCTAGCCGATAAAAATATTTAGTGGGCCCCTAGCTTTAGCAAGGCTGATAGAAATTTGCTTTGTATTATTGATAGTTTAGAACTATTTTTCATCTTCTGATTATATTTCATCATTGGAAAAGCCGTATTTTTTTTGGATTGTTGTCAAATAATAATTTATTTTAAAAAAATCTCAAAACATGTTCAAACACATTCAGTAGCAAAGATCCACCATTGGCACACACATTAAGAAAGCACACACACTAGGCTTCTAGTTGGGCTAATTAAAATCTCTATGGCTGGAAAGGTGGTTGGTTGTACTTAATTAAGCTTTTTTGAAGTGCAAAGCTATGCATAACAGATGAGCTTGAAAGCTGCAGAGTTTAAGATAGACTTAATTTTTCATGATTTTCCCAAAGCCAGTCATGATATTTATTTAATTTGTGGTCTTCAGGGTGCACCTGGAAGAAACATAAGATACAGAGGCAGAGACCTTAATGTAACTTAGTCAGAAATACATTTTTTAAAATTGGCTTTTTAAATGTTTGCTGGGGGACAGTACATTACGATACCATACCTAAAAGTTATAACCTTTAACCTCCTGGGATTCATGAATATTTTAAGTTATACCTTATATTAAGGTAATCTCACACAATTTACAAGGTACTGTCCAAATTACTACTCAACCATGACTTAGAATGTGGGGTGGCGATAACATGAGTCAAGTATTAATACCTCACTTTCCAGAAGGAGGTTCTAGACCGAGAGGTTAAATGGATTCTCAGGTCACAATGGATTGCTCTGATGAAGCTGGGATAGGACCATGGTCCTTCAGTTCAGGCTTGGCCAGACCTACTGGCTGAATGCATGAGGGTGAGTCTCAAGCTGAGTGGGCAGCATACCAGGCCACCCACCAGCTGCCAGGATGACCACCAGCATGCCACAGGCTGGGCATATTCAACAGGGCTGAAGCAGGACCCAGTCACCACAAACGTAGTCTGAGACCACTAAGAGAAACCCAATATGCATACATTGCAGGCCCAAACCTTCCTGCTTTCCTGTAGTGGTGTACTTTTGACAGGAGGAAAACCACGTCAGGCTTAGAGATAGCACACAAATAGGGAATGACAGGAACAGGGCCAGAGGTGACAAACCACTGGAGATGAGTCAGAGGCCACGCCGCTGGACTGGTCTTTGTGGACTTGGGAGCGCCTACTGATCAAAAACCCCAAAACCCACATGCCACCCGCTTCCCCGCAGCCAGGAACACAATTGTTTGTGACTGTAATAGCATTTGTATCCAATAAATAGTCTTAACCATAATGGTGGACTTATTTTGCCTCAGAGACCAAATGTGCTGAATTATGGATGGGAGTGAGCCTCACCTGCTTCCACTCATTGACACAAAAAATTCGGTAAGAGTCGTTGCCATATTTACCAATCCCATGAAGCTCAATTGGATACTTCCACTGCTTTGTCAGGTATTCATCTGAAGAATACAACATCCCACATTATCAGGTCAGCTTCTAAAGACACCCTCCCAAAATGTGTGGTGATGGGGCAGGATGGAGAGAACAGCAGAAAGGGACAGGAAAGGCTCTTTCCCAGCAACCCCAGTTGTGATTACTCTTCCTTCTGAATTCCTGCAGCACCCATATCATTTGCCAATTCCTAACCACTCTTTTGTGCTGTGCTAACAAGACAGAAGTCATGTCCTTGAGGTCAAGAACTGGGCTTTCTGCTTCACTGACTTCTTCCCCTAATTCTGCCCACATGCCTGACCCAGTGCTGGGCAAAGATTTATTGTTTAGGTCAGTGGGAGACTGTGGTTTGGGGAAAGTGGACTTTTTTAAATGCCTTGGGTGCTTGAGCTGAAAAACCTCCATTAATATAGTATCTGAGAACATTAAAGTTTAAGGTGTGGCTCTCTTAAATAAGCACAATGTATTATGTTTTTCCTTTGGGTGTATAGGAAAATACCTGAGAACTTGACAATGGTTTTTGCCCGAAGATCGTAGAGACCAAGAGGTTTAAGAAGTTCTGACACATCTCTCCAGTCTGCGGTTCTTGCTACCTCAGCTGAAGGATACTTCTCCAGAAACTTCCAAAGCACAGGTATTGCCATTTTGCCTGGGAAGTAAAAGTAACTGAATGATTACAAGACTCCAGGTGGGCTGATTTCATGTTCAAGTAGTTTCTCATAGAAATCTCATCCAGAGGGTTTTTTTTTTTAAAGAAAACAAAAAACAAAAAAACACTGGTGAGAAGCCATTATCTGAACCAGCAACCACTTTCAGAATCAAATGCCAAAACTGCTAATATATTGGGCTAATAGTCCAAATTATGCTGAAAACTGGCCTTGCATGATTAGCTTTTAAATGATCAGATCAGCAGATAATGAGAGTAGAAGCATATAGAACACAAGGTACATTCAGTGAAAAAGATACTTTTAAACACACATGAAAGAGGGTGGAGAAACGTTAACTGATTTTCACTGATGATCAAAAAGAATTTGGAAGTATAAAATAAATAAAATCTACCTCTTTATTCTAAAAGGTCTGTTGGATGTCATCCAGTCTCATTTCCTCATAGGTGAAGAGTTTAAGGGTGAAGGGGGAATGCCCTATCCCAGGTGACACACTCAAAATGGACTTTGAACCCAGGCCTCAATTCAGTGCTTTCTCCCTACCACACTGTCTCTACTAAGACAAAGATGATAATAATCCCCAAACCTGAGGTCCGATTGAGAAATATAGTAGCGATGAGAAGCTTCCATGGATCATGAAAAAGTGTTTCTTGAACGAGATTAAAAGGTGACCGAGGAGGTGTCCATTTCTTAAAGGCTTTACGTCGTGGGGGGCTAAGAGCTAAACAAACATAGTGCATCAGAATTGAAAACCCAAAATGGAATTAGAATTTGCTGTTCTGATTGGGAAAGGGATACCTTCTTTGTTATATTTGCTGGAAAAATACAGGCTTGTTTTCCTTCTTTCTATCTGTGTTCGTGGGATGGTATCTTCTGAAAAGGAAAAGTAAACACTTTATGGAGTCTATGGTTTAGCTTAAAGCAATATTGAGGGATGCAAATAATAATATCAACACTATTACAAAGCATGCCAGGCACTATTCTAAGCCCTTTACATAAATACCCAATTAATCTAACTAATGACCCATGAACTTGGTACTATTTTTATCTCCACTTTACAGATAAGGACATTGAGGCACAGAGAAGCTAAGTAACTTGCTCAAGATCACACAGATACTAAGTGTCCCAGCTAAAATTCAAATCCAGACAGTCTGGCTCCTGAGTCCTCACCTTTAACCACTCTGTGACACTAGTTCTTTATGACTTATGTTCAGAGTTTATAGTATTGAAAAATTAAAGGCAGTATGGAATATTTTAAATTACGATGCATTTGTATAATGTGGTCATTAAAGTATTTTTTAGACTATTGTGAATATTTTCCTATTAACTTCTAAATGAAAAAGCAAGAGTCTACATATGATCCCAATTTTATAAAAAAGGGGAAACATATATAAATAACAATACAGAAGTTAAGAATGAAATAAGCCAAAATGATATAATGGTTGTTGCCAAGTGCTAATTTTTCTTTCCTTCTTTACTTTTCTGTATTTTCCAAAATTTCTGCAGTGAACACTTACTTTTACGCTTACCAAAAAAAGGGATACAGACAAAACAGAATCTGCAGAAAAACCTACAATTTGAACCCTAGAACACCTGAGACAACTACCTATTGAGAACCTCTATCTATTGGGAACCAGTGTTATCAGACTTCTCAAATTTCTAAAATCACATGTAATACTCCTTAACCATACCCTCGCAATTTGAATATCAGTTAATAATACCTTGCATTTGTATAGCATCTTTTTCACTTCTCATTTTACAATATTTTTGATGTGAAAAACAGGACTAGTCAGGATGGTTACCTCTATTTTACAGATGAAGAAAGTGAAGCTTCTAAATGAAGCAATCATCCCAAAATGATACTGGGATTGACTATAAACTGGAACAAGTATCCAGGTCTCCAGATAATTAGACTACTGTTTTTTCGCTATTTTAGTTTGAGTAGGTAAAGCCCAGTAGAGAGTAAAAAAAAAAAAGAACAAAGGAAACTGCTCTGACTGCTCTGATTTGACAACTTTTTCTGTGGGCTCCTATGAATAATTACTAGTCTCCTTTATGCCAGGTTTACTTGGCAATTTCTAGCTAAGCCAATGGGTGTCTTCACTATTTCATGGACACCTCGTACTAAGAGTACTTCATCTCATGTTGAGAACTAGACTCTTACCACAAAAAAAAGTTTTTAATATTTGCCCATTTTGCTAGCAATAAATCTACATAAACCTCAAAGCTTTCTTCAAGAAGCTCAGTGTCTAGGACACAGACTTGAAGAATTCTTATGCAGTTCCTAGGTATATATGGCCATCTTGTGTTAAAGGCAGAGAAACTCCAGGCACAGAAAAGACATAAAATCATGGGTAGAACTGGGAACAAGAATCAAACCTAATCTCCTGCTTCACAAATTTCTCCAGGCTGTTTCCCCACAGGAGTTTAAGTAAAATTATTATTCTTTAAAGGAGTTATTCATTATACCATAATGGCATAATGAATAACTAATACAGGGCTGCTCAAAAGGTCTCCCTTTTATCTCTTATTCACTGAGGTATTATAAAGACAAAACTGCTAAGTTCTGAATTCTGTATTAAGAGCATATTACAAATAATAGATGAACTATGTGATTATACTTTTGAATTATTTAGAGCTCTAAAGCATTTTAGAGAAGCATTACATTAAAATAGAAGATAAAAATGACTATGATATATACAAAATTAAATTGGAAGTCACACTTAGTAGTAAGTATCAGGAGGGGTGTGAAGACACCAACTATTCTCCACTCATTTATGTATATAAGAAGCCTTCCCTAAATTTTTCACAAGTGAAGGCTTTTAATTTTCCTTCAAGTTTTAAGATTACTGGCTGGAAAGAGGATGGGAAGAAGGGAAAGCACTGCTGAGGAGGAGAGTCCCAGCTGCTGCACCAGGGAGAGACGATGGCAGCTGTTAATAGTAATACTCTCCTTTGCCATGGCATCACGACAGCAGTCAGCCGATTTTCTCTCTGCCATAGGAAACTGCTTGAATATCAGTTTAAGATAAAGTATTAGGATCAACTGGTATCTCATATTTGGCCCTATTTCTTGGCTCTATTTTCACATCTTAACCATGTATGGGCACGAATACAAGATGCAGCATTATAAATTTCTCATCACATAATGTTTAATAGTGCTTGAAAGCACTGGATACCTTGAAATATTTTCTCACCAGTGAAGTCTTTCCTGGTTGGTGAGCAGTTGTTGTCCATTTCAGAGCCACGTTTTAAAATGTCAGTATGCAAATGTTCTTTCCTTTCCACAACTTCTACTTTTGTTCCGATTTCTTCAGATTCTAAAAAGGTATCCTCATACTTCTCGTTGTGTTCTGAGTCTTTGGCTGAACAAAATTTGTTTATGATGCCAGAAGTTTTTTGTTCAGAACAAAAATTTGATCCTGAACTCAATGATCTTTCTTTTTTTTTTACAAGGCTGTTTTCTTCACTGGTCACACTGAGGGTCTCACCACATGCTCCAGCATCAGAAATGCAGACAGTTCTATCAAGCTGACTTTTTTGTGCAACAGGTTCACTTTCAGCATCTGCTTTATTACACACAGATTCTCTTTTGCTATCACTTTGAACAAAACCTGAACAGCTCTTCCTACATCCTTTTTTAGTTTTCTTAATTGGGATTCCTTTCAAAATAGTCACCTTTCCTTTGGGCTTTCTAACCTTTCTGAAGTTAACATCATCAACACCCTCATCTTCTTTCAAAAGCAAATGAGTGGAAGTAAAGTTAGAGAGTCCTCTGCTCTCCTGCAACTCTGAACTACTACTTGGCGGCATAAACACATCCTTTTTGCACTTGCTTCGGGTCCTGAGGTTCCAGTTTGAATTGTTACTTTGGTTTTGTAGATGGGATGTCAGGGCTGCCATGCTGCAGTCTTTATATCTTGACTTGATACCCCTTTTAGAAAGTACAGTAAAATCAAAATCTTCTGGCTTAAGAGAAGTCTCTCCATTTTTGTGAAGATAATTAGCAAGTGAACTTTTGGATCTGAACTTCAGTCCTTGTGGGCTAGAAAATGATATTAAAGGAAACTTACTGCTAGTAAATAGAAGGGACTTTTAAAAGAACTGGACCACATTTCAGATTTCTAATTAATTTCCAAATGTTGCCATAGGTATCTGTCATTTAAAAATGAAAAAGAGTGATAAATGGCACTTTTAAATGGTTTCCTCTATGACAATATAAATTTATAAATATAACTAAAATGCAACCTACCCGTTAACCATTCACAGAAGGAGGGACAAAATGTATGTAATTTTCCCCAAATCACTTGATGTAATTAATAGCAACATTGAAAGAATAGAATCTGCAATGGTTTTATGGTAAAAATATAAAGAAGCTAAGATTCCTGCTATGCTCCCACTACCTGCCCAGACAAAATCATTTGGCTGTACTATCTTTACCATCTTATATGCTTACCTGATAAAGTACACATCAAATCTTCCTGCTGTCTTCCCAAATAACCTTTGCTTCACAACTCTTTCCCATCCACATGGGACAGACTTACGGCATTCTGTTCCTGCAGTAGCACCAAACTGAGCAGAAGCGATGGGTTCTTGTAGCAAGGGATTACATTCACTGCTTCTTTTTATCATCATTTGTTCCTCATCTTCTCCCACTCTTTCCAATTCCATAGCAACATCTTCTTTGCTGGAAAAACAAAGTCTAAGTGATTAACTTATTTAAAATTTATCTTCCACTGCCTACTCAGTTTTAATCCATGACAATGCAGGAACCACATAGATTATCCATATTAAAATGAGGGAGATTAAAGTCAGTGTGGACCAGTCTTGTGCTATGGGAGTATTTTCCTGTCTTCCAAAAGCTTCCCATATCCTCTAGCACAGGTTAAAAGGTGTTGGAAATCTCTGCACAACAAAAAAGTCAAGCTAGAAACTTTTCGGATTAATCACTGAGTAGGGCTATTATAAAGATTTCTGGGGGCACTTACCATAAATTTGAGAATATGAACCAATAGCTAAGCTCTTAAGCACCAGAAAATGCTTAAATAAATCAGTGAGTTACACTGTCTTCTCTGCAAATAAATGAGGTAAAAGTTTTACATAATGTAAAATTTCTGGGAGAGAGTGTGTATCACTTTCATCAGATGTAATCCTCCAGAAGGTAAATAATTTGATACAGAATTTTTGAATCTTCTTCATTCTTGATCCTCATGGTAACCTTGTAGGTACAATAAGGTTTACTCTCAATTTATTGATAAAATTGAGTGACAGGTTAAATTACTTGCAGAACAGACACGAGAACCCAAGTCTACCAAATCTTGGTCTAATACTTCTCCCCCATACTGTTATTGAAAAAAGCTGGCAAGGCAAGGTGGCTCATTCCTGTAATGCTAGCACTTTGGGAGGAGGAAGTGGGAAGATCACCTGATCCCAAGAGTTTGAGACCAGCCTGGAGAGCACAGTGAGATCCTCGTCTTTGCAAAAAATGAAAAAAAAAACCCAAAAAAACAAAAAAAAACAAGCAACCGGGCGTGGTGGAGCATACCTGTGGTCCCAGCTACTAAGGAGGCCGGGGTAGGAGGACTGCTTAAGTCCGGCAGGTCAAGGCTTCAGGGAGCTATGATTGTGCCACTGCACTCCAGCCTGGGTGACAGAGCGAGACCTCATCTCAAAAAAAAACCCACTAAACTAAAACTTCATTAAAGTTCCAATGTGTCTTCTATGATGAAAACATACTTTTAAAATTAAAAAAAAAATTTCAGTAAAGTGTATCCTAATCACTAAACCACAGATTGTAAAAGGTGGATGGGTCTAGAGAGATCATTTAACCCAAGTTCTTTTCTACAAATAGGGAAACTGCAAGAACTAGAATTAGAATCAAGGTTTTCTGATGTAATTTGGGGTAAAATAATTTTGAGGAGCTGGATGGATCTTATGAAATGATATTGTTTACAATTTTAGAGATAAAAATACTGAAGCCTGGTGGAATCAGCACAAACTCTTAAGAGACTGGGGCTCAAATTCCAGCTCTACCAGCTGTAAGTTTAGCAGCAAGTTACTTAACATCTCAAAGTCTCGGTAAAAGACTCTGTAAAAAGAAGGTGATGCCTCTTTCAAAGTAGTTCTTAGTATTAAATTTTGAAAAAAGTAGGTAAATCTTAACCTCCTATCACACACGTAGTCTAATGACTTCCTAGGATCCTCCAACCCCAAGGGGACCTCTTTCACAAAACCTCCCGGCTCCCCCCCAGTCTCCCTAGTCATCTTAGATGAGGAAGTCGAGCGCACCCCAGGGCTGATCGCACAGGAAGAGCACCTGGGCTCCAGACCCTAGTAACTAAACCCGTGGGCTTCGAGGTTTCTGCCGACCCTCTGTCAAAGGTTAGAAAGGCCCACACACTGTCCACTCTCCCGATACCATTTTACAGGTGGTGAAACTGAGGCCCAAAAGGGGACAGTAACTTACCGGAGGTCATTCGGCGGGTCTGGGACTAGGCGCTCACTAGAGGTGACGGTGGGGGCAGCTCCGCGGTCCCCCAGACTCAGACTCTCCAGCCCAGTCGTGCCCATCGAGCAGGGTCCGGCTGCAGCAACGAGCCCAGCGCCGCAACGCCCAGGGTGTGGGGCGGAGTAAGATGTGAAACCTCTTCAGCTCACGGCACCGGGCTGCAACCGAGGTCTGAATGTTGCGAAAGCGCCCCAGACGCCGCCGCTGCTTTCCGGCCGCCCCCTCGGCTACAGCCGCCATTTCCACGCTCCACCAATCAAATCCATTCTCGAGGAAGACGCACCGCCCCCACACGCCCCGACCAATCGCTCGCGCTCTGGTTGCGCTGGCGCCTTAGGGGCTCCAGTGCCACCATTGCTTTTGCTGCTTTTCTGGCTTTCCCTTTCGGACATGCGCGCTCGGAGCAAGGCGCCCTCGCACTCAGCTTACCGCGCATGTACGTTGCCAGGGGTAACGCAGGTAGCCAAAGTGGCTTGTGGAGTGGCGACCGTTAGTGAGGCGGTTGCTGAGACAGACGCTGAGGCGGGTAGGAGGAGCCCGAGCCGTAAGGGAAGCCGTGATGAGGGCCGTGTTGACGTGGAGAGATAAAGCCGAGCACTGGTGAGGAGCGGGGCGGTTCGCGAAGAGCAGGAGGTCGAGTCCTCGCGGGGAGTGCGCGAGCCGCTGCAGCGTGTTTGAGGGGGGCAGCGGGCTTGCTGCCTGGGCCGAGGGCACTGAACCCCGGCCTGGGAGACTGCAGGGTCGCCCTCCCGCCCCTTGGCGGTTGGAGAAACTCCCGAGGGTTGGAGAGCGGCAAAGGGAGGTGCCGCGCCTGAGGTGGTGGCGGGTGGAGGCGGCTCTTCCCTCACGGTCTGGCCCTGTCGCTGCCTTGGATTCATCTCACACCCACGAGACAGCACGAAGCTGCTCAAGCTTCACAGTTCTTGCCACATCCACATAGTACCCATACTCTTGTTTTCTTGACGTTTTTCTCTAAATTGTCTCATTTATTTTAATTATGATTTCACATTTTACAAGGAAACTTTATTACTCCATTTATGAAAACCAGTGTCACTTGCTCTAAATGTTAAGATAAAATCAGCGTCGCTTGCTCTAAGTGTAAAAGTAAAACTTAAAGTAGGGAGAAACAAAACTGAACAAGCTGTAGCTAGCTATTGTTGCTAGGGAGCCTTTAAACCTGAGATCTCGTTTCTCTAAAACTGGAGATGGGCAGGTATGATCAGAAAGGTGCTCAAAATGAGCACCAAACACAAGCTCTCCTAATTGGGAAGTCTGAAAAAGAACTGAAGGGGAATGACTTTGTCACCTTTTGATTCAGTTATTTAATGTCCTATTCCATTGTTATCGCCTAAATCTATAACATAGCAGTCTGTTTTGTCATATTCTTACTTATGGGATAGGTCTTGGCCTGACTTTGAAAATCATTCAGCATTGTTGTGAAGCCTCTGTTCTGGCCACTGGAGCAGGTTACTTGTCTTTGGTTCTGTCCCTTCTGAGATCTTTCTCTGTGTAAAGCATGCCGTCTCTCCTCATCTCACACGGAAATCCTGAACATCCTTCAAGGCTCACGTTGGAGACGGGTCCTCTCTTTTGTGTTCGGCACTAGTGGTAGCTGACACTATGTGCCAGGTGCTGGCTAAGCACTTCATATCCTTTATCTCGTTGTGTCTTCACCACTCTCTAAGGTAGGTACTATAATTTCCTCTATTTTATGTATGAGGAAACTGAAGCCCAGAGAGGGTGGATAATTTGCCAGCGTCACACAGTGAGGGGTGGAACCAGCTTTCAAGCTCAGGTCTTCCTCACTCCAACGTCAACGCTCTCAGCCACTACATTAATTTTTCCTTATGTTACAGACGTGGCAAACTCAAATGTCTGCAGGAGACAGGCAGGTAACATAAATGGGAGATGTTTATTTGCATCTTCAACACTAGGAATTGTATGTTTTCCCTAGGAATAGTCTTGTATTCTGTACCCCATTTTTCTTGAAACACAGCCGTATCAGTGAATCTTTCATTTGTACTTTTAATAGAGATTTGAGTTTTAAAAAATCATTTTACTTTTAACTTTATTATAAACGTACCTATAGCACAAGCTGATGATAGCTGGCAACTGAACATTTGGCTTCAATGTCAGAGTAATAGAGTGTGGCAAACTGCAGAGCTCATGCTCGGCCTAAAAGGGGCAGCTGCTGCTCAGCTCCTGCCAATTACCACCATGCAGGAATTTGGCCTAGTGTGCTCAGCTCTTCCTGTTTTTACCAGAAGCTAGGAATCTGGGTTTTTATGTGAAATGGCCTAATTTTTAAATGTTAGCATCCACTCTGAAAAAAAAACAAAACACCGTGTGGGCCAAATAAAACATTTGCTGGCCGAATGCAGCCTGATTTGCTCTGTTTTCAACCCCTGGCACAGAATTTTGTTCATTTCTCTCTTGTGGTACTTCCAGAGTCTGTTGAGCATAAGAGTTAATTTTTTAAATCTGTTTAATTCAGAAGTCTAATAAACCCGTTAAAGGCAATGGCTATGTCTTACTCGTTTCCAAATTATTCTAGAGACAGGTCAGTGGTTGTTGTTACTATGGATAGTAATAAAATACTAGATATATATAAAACGAAATACTGTGGGTAGATGTATTCATACGTGAATGAATGATGAATAAAGATTGGTTTTCTGGTTTTTGGCCCATTACAGATTTGAGACAACCTATTAGGATAAGGGATGTAGGGGTTCTATAGACCATCAATCCTGATGGCTGCTAGATATACCAGCTGATAGCCCAGAATGAAAACAAAACAAAAAACTAAACAAAAAAAAAAAAGACAGTAGAACTAAAAAAATCCTAGATGTCAAAGATTAGTCCTCCACATCCAAATCAGCCATTGTCTCCCGGTCTGCTCCTTTGCTTCTATTTTAACCTTCACATAGCAGCAGGAACTCTGTTTTTTTAAGACCTGCTGCTGTGATCCTGTTACTCTACTTCTCATAAACCTAGAGTGATTCCCAATTACTTTCCATGTCAAGTCGTGCATTTTGCTAGAGGGTCCTCCTGACCCTCCTCCCCATCAGGCTTGCAACATTTAAATTTATACTTTTAGGTTGAGCTGAAAACTCTATTTTTCTACCCGAAGATCCTTCCCAAATGCTCCCTTATTCTATGAACTCCCTAGTTTTCTCCTTTAAATGCACAGCTCCAGGTTCATCTCAACCAGGATGTCTTATTAGGCTAGCCCACTGTATTCCAATCAGGCTAGCATCTGCTGTAACTCTCCATTCATGCCAGCTAGTATTTACTGAGTACTTGCTATAGGCCACATGTCCACATGTCTTTATAGGTGTTATCATGTTTAATCTCTACAACATGTGAGGTTGGAATTTTCATCTCATTTAAAGATGAAGAAATTGAGATTTAATGAGGTGACATAAGTTACCTAAGATTACAAAATGAGTAAGTGGGGCTGGGTCAGATGATGCAGGAATTGGAGAGGCACTGTGGGACATTGGTTTACAGTGAGGTGGGTGCAGGGTTGTCAGAGGACAATTTGCAGGATTCCTCTGTATCTCTGCAATGGAATCTGACAGTGTGTCTTCTGACAGTGTATCTCTTTTATAAAAAGAGGCAGGTGGAGAGAGAACCATCCTACAGTAGAATAGACTGCCTGCAAATGAGTGAGCTCCCAGCCCTGGAGTGTTCAAGCAGGGGCTAGATGGCCATCTATAAGGAATTCTTGCCCTGATGGGCCAGATGGACTGCATGACAAGGTCTAGAGTCCTTTCCAATTCTGAGTTTCTGGTGATTTCATAATTATATTTATTACATGTCTAGGACAGTGCCATGCACTGTGGGTCCACAAATATGTAGAACATGGCCATTGCTTTCAAATTGTGTATGACTATAATTAAAGGGGCAAGGCAAGATAATATCTAACACAATGTAAAGAAGACTGTATAAGTCAGAGCTAAACTGAAATGTACAGATTCTAAGTACATTAAGAGTTTAGATTGGGGCAAATCAGACATATATGATATATTTTAGGAAGGCAAATTTCAAGATATTCAGAGAAAATGAATTTTTATATCTAAGAGGAAGAATGTTCAGGCTTGGCTCAAATGAGACATTCAGAAATGATTTTGTGATAATTCAACCCAAAATGACCCTTATGAAGAAGAGGTCACACAGGAATCACTTTGATGAGCTCATATGTGTACAAGGCAGAAAGGAAGCCACATACCAAGGATGACTTTAGATGAGAGGTGCAGACACTGCTCCAACATCTAATAATCCACCATAGCAATCCACAAGTGTCAGGCGCTTTGGATAGACTGGCTTGTGCACCCCGTGAGTAGGAGGCTACCTCTCTATCCTTGTTTTGTAGGTGAGAATGAAAGCTCAGATAGGAGATCAGCTTTTCTGGCCCCACGTCCCCCCTACTTTTTATTCCGCCATGCTGCTTCTCAAAATGTGAAATGTGCCAAGGCTCAGAGGAAGAAAGCGTAAGAAACAAGGAAGGCCCAGGTCTGTTACCACATAATGGTGAGGAAGCTGAAAAACTCAGGGCTTCAGTTTGCCCAGCTGGAAAGAGTGTGATAATCATCCTTGTTCCAGCTTCTTTATCAGCCAGCTCTGTGACTAGGAGCAAACAACTTGCCTCTCTGTACTTTAGTTTCCTCATTGGTAAAATCGGGGCAGTGGTGCCTGTCCTGTCTACTACATTATGTTTTCGTAAGGATCAAATAAGATAATGTAAGTTTACACTCTTTTTTTTTTTTGAGACAGAGTCTCGCTCTGTTGCCAGGCTGGAGTGCAGTGGCGCAATCTCGGCTCACTGCAAGCTCCGCCTCCCAGGTTCAAGCCATTCTCCTGCCTCAGCCTCCCGAGTAGGTGGGACTACAGGTGTGCACCACCACGCCCAGCTAATTTCTGTATTTTTAGTAGAGATACAGTTTCACCATGTTGGCCAGGATGGTCTCCATCTCTTGACCTCGTGATCTGCCTGCCTCGGCCTCCCAAAATGCTAAGATTATAGGCGTGAGCCACCATGTCTGGCCAAGTTTACACTCTTTAACAATTCTTAAATATTGAATAACTGTGAAGAGTTTTTATTAAAGGAAGCGTCAGGTCAACAGAGCCATATTAAAAGCTTTCTGAATTCTTCATGTAATGCCTTAAGTAGGTAATAATACCTTTTTTTGACATATGCCAACAATGATAATGGCAGCCACATAGCATAATGGTTAAAACATGGGCTTCAGGCCAGATTGCCTGGGTTTGAGGCCGGATGCAGTGGCTCACACTTAAAATCCCAGCACTTTGGGAGGCTGAGGCAGATGGATCACTTGAGGTCAGGAGTTCGAGACCAGCCTGGCCAACATGGTAAAACCCTGTCTTTACCAAAAATACAAAAATGACCTGGGTGTGGTGGCAGGCACCTGTCATCCCAGCTACTCAGGAGGCTAAGGCAGGAGAATCGATTGAAACTGGGAGGCAGAGGTTGCTGTGAGCCAAGATCCTGCTACTGCACTCCAGCCTGGGTGACAGAGCAAGACTCCACCTCAAAAAAAACAAAAACAAAAACAAAAAAACAGATTGCCTTGGTTTGAATCCTGGCTCCATTTCCATTCAGTAGCACTTTATTTTCAGGCAAGTTATTTAACTTCTCTGTACCATAGTTTTCTCATCTGTGAAACAGGTATACAGTTGTTTTGAGGTTAACATGAGTTAATACATGTAAAGCATTTAAGCTGTACCTGGCATACACAATAATAAATGTGTTCAATAAATGTTAGTCACTGTTATTAAAGTATGAAGGATAACAGATTTGACATACTTGGCAGTAATTCAAGGGAGCAGAAGGCAGCATAGCGCGTTAATTACAAGCACAGACTCTAGAGTCAGACCTGAGTTGAAATCCTGGCCCTTGCACTTGCTAGTTGTGTGACATCAGGCAAACTACTTGACCTCTCTGAGCCATGGTATCCTCATCTACAAAACAGAGTAATAATTCCTACCTCACAGAATTATTGTGGAGATGAAATAAAATAATGCATTTTAAGAGCTCAGCAGGTGCTGTCTGGAATAAGAGTTCGAAGTACTGTCATTGAGAGTGTACTTCCAAGTTACTGACAAAAGCTTGATTTTTAGATTACTGGTATAAACCAAAAATAAAATTCAGAGGCCCCCCAACCATCTGAATGGATTTCCTTCTCAACCAGGGCTCTTTTAAAATTTAACCTGAGAGACTGTTTCAGGCCATGATGGGAAATGGGGGTCAAACATGCCTCAGTATACCTCTCTGGCATTAACATCAACACAGACTTTAAGTATGATAAGAAACATTTTACAAACTCTCCTCTCTAAAGCCTAGTACCTCAAGGCTTCCTCTGCAAACAGTAACTTGGGTTGCCACAATCCTTTATCTTAACCCAGGCATTCCTTTCTGTTGAACCTAGGTTTTTTGTTTTTTTTTTTTCTGAGACAGAGTCTCACTCTGTCGCCCAGGCTGGAGTGTAGTGGCGCGATCTCAGCTCACTGCAAGCTCCACCTTCCGGGTTCACGCCATTCTCCTGCCTCATCCTCCCGTGTAGCTGGGACTATAGGTGCCCGCCATCATGCTTGGCTAATTTTTTGTAGAGACGGGGTTTCACCGTGTTAGCCAGGATGGTCTCAGTCTCCTGACCTCATGATCCACCCACCTCGGCCTCCCAAAGTGCTGGGATTACAGGCATGAGCCACCGCGCCCGGCCGACCCTAGGTCCTTAGATAAGCTCAACCAATTGTCAGAAAAATTTTAAATCAACCTATAAGCTAGAAGCCCCCTGCTTCAAGTTGTTCCATCTTTCTGGACCAAACCAATGCATTTCTTAAATGTATTTGATTGAAGTCTCATGTTTCACTAAAATGTGTCAAACCGAGCTGCACCCTGACCACCTTGGGCACATGTTCTCAGGACCACCTGAGGGCTGTGTCATGGGCTGTGGTCACTCATATTTGGCTCAGAATAAATCTCTTCAGATATTTTACAGAGTTTGATTTTTTGTTGACACTGGCAAGTTTATCCCATGCTAAACTTTTACTATGGGTTGGGTTTTGTTTTTTTGTTGTTGTTGTTTGTTTTTTGTGTGTTTTGTTTTGAGTAACTTCAGTAGTAACCTTAACAATAGTCTGTTTTGACAGGTTTTTGACACATTCTTACTATAGTCACCTGAACCAATGAAATCCTCTGCCTGGGGCATTTGAAAAATCTTTGTAATATGGCTCTAGCCCATTTTTCTAGCCTCATTTCTCCATGTTCTAGCAACATCTTGCACATAGCCAGATGTTTCAGTCAAATTAAATTATTTTGATTACTTGTGTTGGCAAGAAGAGTCAAACTGCAAAATATTTTAAGAGATTTATTCTGAGCCTAATATGAGTGACCACAGCCAGTGACACAGCCCTCAGGAGGTCCACAGAACATGTGCCCACGGTGGTTGGGGTGCAGTTTGGGGAGGCATGAGACATCAATCAGATACATTTAAGAAATACATTGGTTTGATCCAGAAAGGCAGGACAACTCAAAGTGAGGGCTTCCAGGCTATAGGTAAATTTAAACATTTTCTGGCTGACAATTGGCTGAGTTTGTTTAAAGACCTGGGATCAACAGAAAGGAATGTCTGGGTTAAGATAAAGGATTGTGGAGACCCATGTTCTTATTTGCAGAGGAAGCCTTCGGGTACTAGGCTTCAGAAAGAATAGGTTGTAAAATGTTTCTTCTCACCCTGCAAAACAGAGTCTTGCTGTCACCCAGGCTGGAGTGCAGTGGTGCAATCTCGGCTCACTGCAACCTCTGTCTCCCGGGTTCAAGCAATTCTCCTGCCTCAGCCTCCCTAGTAGCTGGGATTACAGGCGCCCGCCACCACACCTGGCTAATTTTTGTATTTTTAGTTGAGACAGGGTTTCACCATGTTGGTCAGGCTGGCCTCAAACTCCTGACCTCGTGATCCGCCCGCCTCGGCCTCCCAAAACGCTGGGATTACAGGCATGAGCACCGCACCCAGCCTAAAATGTTTATCATACTTAAAGTCTGTGTTGATATTAATGCCGGAGAGGTACAATGAGGCATGTCAGAGGCCCACTTCCCGTCATGGCCTGAAACAGTCTCTCAGGTTAAATTTTAAAAGAGCCCTGGTTGAGGAGGAAGTCCATTCAGACGGTTGGGGGGGCTTACAATTTTATTTTTGTTTTACACTTGTTATTTCTCACTTTCATGTCTTTGCTTGTTTTATTTTCTTTGCCTGAAATGTCCTTTACCCAGTGTCCTCCTCCATGTTTCAAAAGCCCTACCTTTTTCAAATATCTTCTTCATTAATCTTTTTCTGATCCTCTCCTTGAATTAAAATGCTGTTGAAGCGGCGTCATTGTCTGGGGTAAATATCCGAGATTTGTTGTCTCAACAGCAATGGAAAACTAGGATACGGACACACCAGAGTGAGGTTACGAGTAGAAGTTTAACAGGCGAAAGAAAGAGAAGAGCTCACTGCAGCTGACAGCGTTCTCGAAAAAATGAGTTGCCACCTCTGTGGTGAAATGCAGGTTTTATAGATAAGCTTGAGGAGGTGGTGTCTGATTTACATAGGGCACAAAAGATTGATTGGATTGGTGTTTCATTTGCATAACTTTCGAAAAACTGGTTAGGGCTAGGTGTGTCATTTGCATTGGGTGCGAAAAGCTGGCCACCCCCACCCTAATCTTTTATTATGCAGTTGGGTTATTTACGTGGCCAGCGCCATGTTGCCCGTTTCTTTACTGTACACGTGGTGACAAATTAAAGGGAGGACAGAACCTCCATGTTGAACATACTTGGCCCCCAGGTAGCCTTTTTCTATTGGCACAGCTGCCGGCATTCACCAGTGCAAGCTTCCAGCTTGCCTTTTTATTTATTTATTTATTTTTTTTTTTTGAGACGGAGTCTTCCTCCGTCGCCCAGACTGGAGTGCAGTGGCATGATCTTGGCTCACTGCAACCTCTGCCTCCCAGGTTCTAGTGATTCTCCTGCCTCAGCCTCTCGAGTAGCTGGGATTACAGGCGCTCACCACCCACCACCATGCCCAGCTAATTTTTGTATTTTTGGTAGAGACAAGGTTTCACTATGTTGGCCAGGCTGGTCTCGAACTCCTGACCTCAAGTCTTCCTCCTGCCTTGGCCTCCCAGAGTGCTGGGATTACAGGCATGAGCCGCTGCGCCAGGCCTCAGCTTGCCTATCTATGTTTGCAGCTCGATTTTTCAGGCTGCTCTTTGTTAGAAAAAAATAATTTCTTGGGCTGCTTTTTATTAAAAGGGAAGTTCTGCCGAAGACTCTTTTACCTTCACTATCTGGCTAAATAATTTCTTTCTAGCTCCTGTATCACTGCGTCTTCCTCCTTCGAATCCTGTTTTCATGTGTCTCTTAAAGCCTTTATCAGAGTACTGTTCTGTATTTCATCCAATCTAATAGGTCATTGATTATAAAATACCATTGTTTTGTGTATCAATAAGAAAGCAAAAAATGCTGCCAGTTACACTGAAACATCATCAATTATAAGACACAACCTTAGAGGTGAGAAAATGTGAAAAAAAAATGTAAGCTTTAGAATTGATGACATATGGTAGTTCTTTGTGAAAGTGTCTGTTTCACACCTTCTCACTGGATAGTAATTTCCCTGAGGGGAGGGAGGGATTATGATCTGTTCATATCTGTTGGTGCCTGGCACCTAAGAGGGACTCAGTAAGTATCTGTGGATTTACTGGCCCTTAACACATTCTCTCATGTTGTCTAGCCTTTATGATATTATTAGAAGAGTTAATACCCTCAACAGTTGACCCTTTGAATAATTTCTTGTGTCTGGCTTCTGGACAAGAGGAAATCAGGACAAAGAGCTAACTACTGAGTGGATCATGATTGAATGGGCTGCTGTGGTGTGGCGGTTGAATGGAATTTGCAACAAATGCAATTCGTAGTTATTCTTTTTCTCCTCAGTACACACACAGTGTTTCTTAATGGCAATAAAGTTTACTTTCCTGGCCATTAGCAGACTTCATCATTTTGGTTCCTAATTGTCTTTTTCCCTTGTCTTCTGTTCAGTATAAATGACATCGCATTTAAGCCTGATGGAACTCAACTGATTTTGGCTGCCGGAAGCAGATTACTGGTAGGATTTTGTCTTAGTTTCCTCTTAAAGTGCTTCCCTAACCTCCCTCTTGTGAGTACTCTGAAATTTGACCCTTTTTTTTTTTTTTTGAGATTAAAAAGGCAAGGGTGGAAAAACCTTCCCTATTACTTTTTAATAGGGATGGAAATGGGCTATTTAAAACGGGCAAGTAAACTATCAGATAAGAACCTGTGAACAATACCACCTTTGGGGTCATTCATCTTTCCCTTTTTACTTTGAGACACCCATGAAAGAGTTGAAAACAATCACAATGCCTTTGAAACTGGACTGGTGTCAGTTTACATTTTGTCCCCCAGAAAAATTCAAGCAACAGGACTGACGGTGCTGTGTCCATGAAAAGTCAGATAGCCTGACCCCAACTTTTAGGCATTGGCCTATCTAAACAGTTCCATATGGATGTTGTCCTATTTTTCATATTTTCAAATAACATAAGCTCCCTCTGGAACCTATCCAGGTATATAAAAGTAATTTTCAGAGAACCCCTTATGTTTGACCAAAAAACCTTTGTATGATCTCTCTTTCTGTCTAAGTCTACTTCCTCTTCTCTGTTGTCTCTAGATACGCAGACTGATTAATCTCCATTCTTTGTATGGTTAACTACATAATCTTAAAACATGGTTAAATTGTTCTGCAGACTTCTCTCCAGTGTAAACAATCCAAACTCTATTAGTTTTTCTACATAGGTTATCTTTTCCAATACTCTAACCATTTCAGAAAGTTTCCGCTTGATTTCTCAGATGGTGTGTGTGTGTGTGTTTTTTTTTTTTTTTTTTTTTTTTGGAGACAGAGTCTGGCTCTGTCGCCCAGGCTGGAGTGCAGTGACGCGATCTCGGCTTACTGCAAGCTCCACCTCCCGGGTTCACACCATTCTCCTGCCTCAGCCTCCTGAGTAGCTGGGACTACAGGCGCCTGCCGCTACGCTCAGCTAATTTTTTGTATTTTTAGTAGAGACGGGGTTTCTCCGTGTTAGCCAGGATGGTCTCGATCTCCTGACCTCGTAATCCACCCACCTCGGCCTCCCAAAGTGCTGGGATTACAGAGGTGAGCCACCGCGCCCGGCCAGATGGTGTGTTTTTAAACTCTCCACATAGTGATAGATGTCACATGGCTATCAAATACCTAAATCCATATTACAGCTGGGTTTTATTTTATTTCTTAGAGACAGGGTTGTGCTCTGTTGCCCAAGCTGGTGTGCAGTAGTGCAGTCATAGATCACTGCAGCCTCAAACTCCTGGGCTTAAGGGATCTTCCCACCTCAGCCTCCCGAGTAGCTAGGACTGTGGACACACACCACCTCGTCCACCTAATTTTTATTTTTTTTTATTTTTATTTATTTTTATTTTTTGTAGAGATGGGGTTTCACTTAGTTGCCCAAGCTGGTCTTGAACTCCTGGTTTCAAGCAATCCTCCCACTTCAGCCTCCCAGAGTGTTGGGATGACAGGAGTGAGCTACCATGCCTGGCCTACAGTTGGGTTTTATAACATTCCCTCCTACTTGAAAGCCCAGAGTTCTGTGACTTTCAAATTCTTGGTAGCAAATATGAAACATCTATTATGTTGATTTAGTGCAGAGCTGGCATTAAAATTTAATCATGTTGTAGCTGGCTCTTTTTATGGGCTAGTTTTATTTAGGAGGGCCTGCCTTGATCAATCATATATCCAAATTCAGGTAAGGATGAGTATAAAGAATTTCCATGGAGTGAGTAATTGAACCTTTGGTTCTCAAGGATTGGTAGTATATTCCTGGTCACATAGTACATAGACCTGGGTCCTCTACTTCTTGGTTACCCAACTTTAAGTCACGTTGTTTTTGGTTTTGCAGTGCAGTTTTTATTGGCTACAGATTTAGAATATTGACACGTATTGTTATAAAAACAAAAATAGCAGTAGCAACCCTGCAGGAATTCTGACTAATAGATATCACATAGATAATCTGTATTTGTCTCTTTTGCCAGGTTTATGACACCTCTGATGGCACCTTACTTCAGCCCCTCAAGGGACACAAAGACACTGTGTACTGTGTGGCATATGCGAAGGATGGTAAAAGGCTGCTCTGGGTTTCCATTCTCTATAATAGCCTCATCATTGTTCATTTTTCTCTTTAGTCACTTTTTAATTATTTCTAGTAAGCTGGAGTACAAGTTGCAAGTTCAGAAGACAGTGAAGTTGCTAAGACTTCAGTTTGGTCATTCAATCTAGCAAGTATTTATTGAGGTCATCTATGTTCCAGGCACTGTTCAAGGTGCTTGAGTTACTTCAGAGAAAAAAACGGTGGTCCCTCCCCTTATGGGGCTTCTGTTTTATGGGGTGGTGGTGAGAAGTGAGGGAGGAAGAAAGTATGAGGGAAGACATACAGTAAACATAGTAAAAAGGTAAATTAAGTAGTATGCTGGAAGGTGATAACTGTTATGGAAGAAGAAAAAGTAGAGCAGAATGAGGGGGATTGAGAGTGCTGGGCAGGGCAGGGGGTTGGGTACAGTATTGAATTAGACTAGTGAGGGTGGGCTCATTGAGATGAGGACAGGTGAGGAAAAAGACTTTGAAGTCAGGAGGCAATGAGATTGTGCCAGTGGGCATCGGGGGGAAGAGAGCTCTTTGCAGAGGAAGAGCCATTGCAGAGGCCCTCAGGTGTGGGTGTGGCTGCTAGGAGCTGGATCAAAGAGAATCGGGAATTGTAGAGGATGAGGATAAAGTGGTAACAGACATGGGGTGGTCAGATCATAAAGATTTTGATTCTCAGTCAAAATGGAACTACTGAAAGGTCCTCAGCAGAGGAGGGATCTGATTTGATTTGTATTTTAAAAGGATCCCTCTAGTTGCTGAGTTGGAAACAACCTGCAAGAGGTGAGGGTTAGGACATCTGTGTGAGGAAGCATCATCCAGACAGGGGGTGATGGTGGCTCAGACCTCTGTGGGGGCAGAGGAGGTGATGAGAAATTATCAGACTCTGGATATAATGGGAGGGTGGAGCCAACTGGATTGTCTGACAGATTGGATATGGGCTATGAAGAAAAAGGAGTCAAGTTTTTGACCTGAGGACTGAAAGGTTGGAGTTGCCCCCCCCACTGAGATGGAAAAGACTGCAGGTAGAGAAAAGTTATGGTTGAAGATCAGAAATTCAGTTTTATACATGCTGAATTTGAGAAAAGTTGATGATGTCGGAGAGGGGAGAGAACTGCTGGAACAGAGTTGTTGAGTAGGCAAGAGGAGATGGGATCTAGGGCATAGACGGGGTATTTGCTTTAGATAGGGGCACAGTAGGAACTGCAGAGGCCAGCAGATGGGGACAATGTGGTAGTAGGAATCTAATGGAAATTCTCAATTCCATTTTTTTTTTCTTCAGTGAAATAGGAAGCAACAGCAACTGAGAGTGGCAATGGGGAAGGGAGGTTTCAGAGAGTTGAAGAGAAAGGGAAAAAGTGTAAAGTCACTGCCTCAGAGAATGGGACAGCGAGTGGACCCAGGAGGTGTAGTGAGATCCCCGGTGACATGAAGGGCCCTCTTGAAGATTGTGATCATGAATTGAAAGTGAGATTAGTTGGTGTGATTGTGTCTTTTTCTCCAGCGATTTTGAGCTGCATAGTTGTAGAGGCAGAAGAGGTGAATTTAACCAGAGGTGGTTTTGCAAGCACATTTGAAGATGAAGTAGGAGGGCAAGGGAGCAGAAAGTGTATACAGATAAATAATTATGTACATTAACCTTGAATTGTTGGCTGAATAATGAAGGGAGAGAGGACAGCAATGGAGAAGTAGTAGGTTCTGGTGGTGTTGAAGGATTGTTACAGTTGGGGTACCAGGTGGGTTGGGAAGGAAGGGAAGTGGTGCATGAAACTGAGATTTAAATTTATTTTAAAATAAATCCATGTTGTCCCACAGCATAGGATTAGTGGGAAGAAATGGGCTTTGGAATGAGACAGTTGTGAGTTCCAACCCCAACCCAACACCAGAGTTCTGTGAGTCTGAGCTGGTTATTGAGTCTGAGTCACGATTTCTTCATGTATCAAATGGATAACATTGAGATAACATTCTGTAGCCACTGCCAAGAAGTCACAAAATTGTAATGTTATAATTCTTGAATGAACCTTGGAGATTATTCCAGTCCCAGGTTTTTAACTTCTTTTGGCTGATGGGCCTCTTTGATAATCAGATGGAAGCTTTAGACCACTTTCTAGAAAGATGCAAATTCTTCATGTGTATGCAGAATTTCATGCATATAATTTTAGTCTGATTAGTCCAGTCTCTTCACTTTAGTCCTGCATAAAGACATAAACAATTGGCCAGGCACGGTGGCTCATGCCTATAATCCTACTGAAATCCTAAAGCTCTGGGAGCCTGAGTTGGGAAGATTGCTTAAGGCAGGAGTTTGAGACCAGCCTGGGCAACATAGTGAGACTCCCTAAAATCTGGCCTGGGTGACAGAGCTAGACTCTGTCTCTTAAAAAAAAAAAAAAAAGACAAGTCATGTGACTTGCCAAGGCCATGCAGCAGATTGGCCCAAAGACAAAACTAATTTCTTGCTTCATAGTCAGGTGTGCTGTACCATGGTAGTCATATTTGTGTGTGTGTGTGTGTGTGTGTGTGTGTGTGTGTGTGTGTGTGCATGTTTGAGTTCAAGTTCAGAATAATGTTTTAGGGAGACCTGTGAGGAGGGAGCCTGGAGAGCTGAACTGTTTCTGTCTCATCCTAGTGGCTGTTGAGGAATGTGGGTCAGTCCAGGGCCCAGTATAAGGCCCAGTAGGTACAGAAGAGCTATTGGGCCTCTGGTGCCTCTGGTGTTTATAAGCATAGCAGGGCTCTTTGACCTGCAACACCATTAGGGCACTTGAGGATGTCAGAGTGTGACCCATCAGTAGTGGCATTTGCACAGCACTTTGCAGAGTCCTGTCACACACATCTCACTTGATGCTTCCAACAACTCTCTGAAGCAGGCAGCAAGGGGACTCTTATCTCCGCTCAAAGATGAGAAAACAGACTTGGAGCAATTACAGGTGATGGTGGCAGAGGCAGGCCTAACCCAGGTTCTCTGACTGCAGAGTCTTTGTTCTTTCTAGTGTATCATGCTGCCTCTTCATGACACCTGTATAATGATTAAGAAGTCTTTTAGTCCTCAGAATTGGTTTTTTCCTCTTAGACCTGAAGATTGAGATACACTGAATTCCAGCTTTGCTCTTTAAGTCTGCTTGTTTCTGATTTCTCCTTTAAGTTCATTAAGTTTTTTTTGTTTTTTTTTTTGAGATGAAGTCTCGCTCTGTCGCCCAGGCTGGAGTGCAGTGGCGCGATCTCGGCTCATGGCAACCTCTGACTCCCTGGTTCAAGTGATTCTCCTGCCTCAGCCTCCTGAGTAGCTGGGACTACAGGCACGCGCCACCATGCCTAGCTAATTTTTGTATTTTCAGTAGAGACAGGGTTTCACCATGTTGGTCGGCCTGATCTCAAACTCCTGACCTCGTGATCCGCCCACCTCGGCCTCCCAAAGTGCTGGGATTACAGGCGTGAACCACCATGCCTGGCCCAAGTTTAATAAGTATTTAATGAGCAACCATGATATAAAAGTATGTAAGACATAGTTTTTTTGTTCAAGAAAAACAATATAATATGAAGAAATAATAGAAATAGCTAATTTTTTTTTAATTCTATTCCAGGCCCAGTTCTAAGCAACATAAGGGTTAGGGGTGCCACTGCCTGTGCAATAAAAAATCTGCATGTAATTTCTGAACCCCCCAAAACTTTACTATTAATAGCCTACTGTTGACCAGAAGCCTTACCTGTTACATAAACAGTTAACACATTTTTAATATTATATGTATTATATATTGTATTCTTAAAATAAGCTAGATAAAATGTTAATTGAGAAAAAAGAAAAATATATTTACTCTTCATTAAATGGAAGTGGATCATCATAAAGGTCTTCATCTTCATTGTCTTCAGGTTGAATAGGCTGAGGAGGAGGAGGAGGAGGAGGAGGAGGAAGAGGGATTGGTGATGCTGTGCCAGGGAGACAGAGGCAAAAGAAAATTCACATGTAAAAGTGGACTCATGTAGTTAAAACTCATGTTGTTCAGGGGTCAACTGTATGTACACATGTACATACACTCATTTAATCTTCACACCAACCATGAGGTAAATACTAACATTGTATCCATTTTTCAAATAAGGAAATGAAAGCTCTTCAGTAGCTTGTTTGGGTCATGCAGCTGGTCAGTGAGATCTCTAGGAATTCTGACCCAGAGACTCTGAGCCCAAAGCTTATGCTTTTCATCACCATCACCTGCTACCTACCAGGATGAGGGAGGAGTGATGGAAATAGTAAGAGCAGTTTCTTTGTTTATTTAGTATTTGCAGCAATATCATATGGCTCACCCTAATATCTACTATTTCAGCTACTGTAAAAGGTACTTGGCCGGGTGTGGTGGCTCATGCTTGTGATCTCAGCACTTTGGGAAGCCAAGGCGGGTGGATCATGAGGTCAGGAGTTTGAGACAAGCCTGGCCAACACAGTGAAACCTCGTCTGTACTAAATATATAAAAATTAGCTGGGCATGGTGGTGTGTGCCTGTAATCCCAACTACTTGGGAGGCTGAGGCAGGAGAATTGCTTGAACCTGGGAGGCGGAGATTGCAGTGAGCTGAGATTATGCCACTGCTCTCTGGCCTGGGTGACAGAGCTAGACTCCGTCTCAAAAAGGGCCAGTCGTGGTGACTCATGCCTGTAATCACAGCACTTTGGAAGGCGGATCACCTGAGGTCAGGAGTTTGAGACCAGCCTGCCCAACATGGAGAAACCCCATCTCTACTAAAAATACAAAAAATTAGCCAGGTGTGGTGGTGGGCACCTGTAGTCCCAGCTACTCGGGAGGCTGAGGCAGGATAATCGCTTGAACCCGGGAGTCGGAGGTTGCGGTGAGCCGAGATCGTGCCACTGCACTATAGCCTGGGCAACAGAGTGAGACTTAGTCTCAAAAAAAAGGTACTTTACAGATACTATCTTAGTTGACTCCCATAAAAAGACTCTGAGGAAGATACTGTTCCTCTGTGTTTCAGATGAAGGCATTGAGGCTCAGAGAACAGTGACTTGCCCAAGGTCACCTTCCACTTGCCCTGTGAATAAAGTCTAAAAGTCCTTAAGATGTACAGAATGTGGCACATACTTACCTCTTAATCCTCGTCTCTCACCAGAGTAGGTGAAGACCCCGTTATTTGCTGCCATGGTACCGTGATCCTCTTCCAAATGCTTATAAATGTGGAACAGTGTAATTAATAACAAATTACTTGTTATATGTTGCCTCTCTCCAGTCTGTTCCTTCATAAAGCCCAAGTAGTATGAAAATGCGAATCTGATCTATCACTCTTTGCTTAAAACCTTTCTTTGGCTTCCCATTGCTTTAGGATAAAGAGCAAGGCCTCTGCTGTGTCCCTGAGGTCCCAAGAGATCCTTCCACAACCCACCTCACCCTTCCCTCCGTTCCATGATGACTCCGCTCATTCCCTCAGACATGCCAGGCTTTTCCTGCTTCAGGGCCTTTGCACATCTGTTCCATCCATGTGGATGGGTCTGTCTCCTCTCTACATCTGGCTAAGCTCTGCTCATCCTTTAGGTCTCCACTGAAGGATCTCATCCTTAGAGAAATGTTCCCTCATCTAAATTAGGTCCCCCAGGAGATGTTGACCAAAGGGTAGTTTCAGTCAGACAAAAGGAGTACATTTTTGAGATCTATTGCACAGCATGGTGACCATAGTTAATAATAGCGTATATTTCAAAACTGGCACAGGAATAGTTTTTTTTTTTTTTTTTTTTTGAGATGGAGTCTCGCTCTGTTGCCCAGGCTGGAGTGCAGTGGCGTGATCTCGGCTCACTGCAAGCCCCACCTCCTGGGTTCACTCCATTTTCCCACCTCAGCCTCCAGAGTAGCTGGGACTACAGGCGCCCGTCACCAGGCCGGCTAATTTTGTTTTTGTATTTTTAGTAGAGACGGGGTTTCACCGTGTTGGCCAGGATGGTCTCGATCTCCTGACCTCGTGATCCACCCGCCTCAGCCCTCCAAAGTGCTGGGATTACAGGTGTGAGCCACTGTTCCCGGCCAGGAATAGATTTTAAATGTTCTCACTATAAAAAAATAAGTATCTGCAGTGATGGATATGTTAATTAGCTTAATCATTCTTCAATGTGTATGTATATAAAATACCACATTGTACTTCATAAGTAGATATAATTATTATTTGTCAAAAATAAAAATTTAAGTAAAAAAGTAAATCAGGTTCCCCAGTTATTCTCTTTCATAGGATCCGTGTCTTACCATGTTGTATTTGTGTTAGATTAATTTGATGTGTACTTCTTACACTAGACTGAACTTTATGAAAGTAGGGATCATGTGTGTTTTAATCATTACTTAATCCCTAGCATAGAACATGACAGCTACATGTAGTAGGCTCCCAATACATCTTTGTTTACTCAGTGTCAGACAAAGCAGGTTTGGAACCCAAATATTCTGACTCCAAGGTCCTGCCTCCCAGTACTGATAAGAACTAGGAAAGAAGCTAACACTTACTAGGTACCTTAAAGAACTAGTTTTCTAAAGAATTCTCTCTGGGAAATGCTGGTTTAAGATAAATGTAAGACTTTCCATTTTACAAACACTTTTAGGCAAGCGCTTTGCTTCTGGATCAGCTGACAAAAGCGTTATTATCTGGACATCAAAACTGGAAGGCATTCTGAAGTACACGTAAGTAACTTAGGTGTACAGTATTATGAGTTTGATGCTTATTGAATAATTGCAGCAAAAGCCTCTTAGAAAAGATGTAGGAGAAAACTTTTTTCTCTTAAATTGAACTTGAAATTAAGTTGTGGGTGTGTGTGGTTGGTATAGGAAGGTTGAGTAGTGAATAAGTTAATGAATATTTCTTGGCCACTTACTGGCGTGGCCAGCACTGGGCTAGGTGCTTTTATGTAGCTCATCTCAGTTCATCTGACATTGTAGACTTTATCCCACCCCCAACCTGTCATCTTCCAGTGTCCCTGTCTCAGAGAATGGCCTTATATCCACCCAGTGTCAAATGTCAGAAACTTGGGGTCAGTGTGCTCCAGGCCTCCTCTTACTATTGGGGATCTGCCGTGTTCTTCCCCTGTTCCTCTACTAGTTGGTCCCTATTTACCCTGCAGATCTCAGACTCAAATGTCAGTTTCTTTGTAAGGACTTTCCTGCCTCTCTAGACTGGAACAGGTCTCTTTCGAGGCATTTCTCACAATTGCAGTTTTAGGTTTATTCTGGTGACTGATCAGTATTGCTCATCGGCCTGTAAGTTCCATAAGAACAGATACTGCATCTATTTTTTGTTTTGTTTTGTTTTGTTTTGAGACAGAGTCTTGCTCTGTTGCCCAGGCTGGAGTGCAGTGGCACGATCTCGGCTCACCGCAAGCTCCACCTCCCAGGTTCACGCCATTCTCCTGCCTCAGCCTCCCGAGTAGCTGGGACTATAGGCGCTCACCACCATGCCAGGCTAATTTTTTGTATTTTTAGTAGAGATGGGGTTTCACCATGTTAGCTAGGATGGTCTCGATCTCCTGACTACATCTATTTTTTTTTTCTCACTCTTGTGTCCCTGATACAATGCCTAGCCCATAATTGGTACTCACCAATTTTCCTTCCTTCCTTCTTTCCTTCCTTCCTTCCTTCCTTCCTTCCCTCCCTCCCTCCCTTCTTCCTTCCTTCCTTCCCTCCCTCCCTCCCTTCTTCCTTCCTTCCTTCCTTCCTTCCTTCCTTCCTTCCTTCCTTCCCTCCCTCCCTCCCTTCTTCCTTCCTTCCTTCCTTCCTTCCTTCCTTTCTTTTCAGTCTTGCTCTGTCTCCCAGGCTACAGTGCAGTGGTAACTAGCTCACTGCAACTACAACCTTCCAGGCTCAAATAATCCTCTTACTTCAGCTTCCCAAATAGCTGGAACTGCAGGTGCACACCCCCACACCAGGCCAATTTTTAAATTTTTTTTTTTCTTGGTAGAGACAGGGTTTCACTTTGTTGCCTGTACTGGTCTTGAACTCCTGGGCTCAAGCAGTCCTCTCAAAGTACTGGGATTACAGATACGAGCCACTGCACCTGGCCTCTTTTCAATTGTGGTAAAATATACATGACATAAAATTTATCATATTAACTACTTTTTAAGTTTACAGTTTAATGTTAAATACATTTACATTGTTGTGCAACCAATCTCCCAAACTCTTTTATCCTGCTAAACTAAAATTCTATATCCTTCAAATACCTACTCACCCTTCTCTCCTACCCCCAGCCCCTGAAAACCAGCATTCTACTTTCTGTCTCTCTGAGTTTGACTGCTTTACATACCTCATATAAGTAGAGTCATACAATGTTTGTTCTTTTGTGGCTGAGTTATTTCATTTCACGTAATGTCCTCAAGGCTCATCTGTGTTGTAGCATGTGTCAGAATTTACTTTCTGTGTTGTAGCATGTGTCAGAATTTACTTCCTTTTTTTTCTTTATTATTATTTTTTTTTATGAAGACGAGGTCTCACTATGACTCCTGAGCTCAAGCAATCCTTCTCCCTTGGCCGCCCAAACTGCTGGGATTACAGGTGTGAGCCACTGGGCTCAGCTTCCTTCCTTTTTAAGTCTGAATATTATTCCATTGTATATATAGACCACATTTTCTTTATCCATTCATCTGTTGATGGACACTTGTGTTGCTTCTGCTTCTTAGCTATTATGAATAATGCTGCTATGAACATGGGTGTACAAATCAACAAACAATTTTTGAAGGAATGAATGAATGAGTGAAGTTGTAAGTAAAGTATTACCCACAAGTGAAGGACTAAAACGGGTTGAGACGCCTTGCATGGTACATGATTTGCTCAGCTTTCATTGTTGTCTAAGGATTTGTCATGTTTCCAGATCTTGGTCTGTGATGTCTTCATTGCACCTCCATCTTCCATTTCTGGGCCTCCACAAAACAGTAAGAGTAACAGCCACAGATAAAGCACCTAAAGGCCAAGGTGGGAGGATTGATTGCTTGAGGCCAAGCGTTCAAAACCAACCTGGCCAAAAGTGAGTCCCCATCTCTACAAATAAGAAAACAGTGGGTGAGGAGAAGGAGAATTAATTCTTTAGGAGTAGGAGAATTAATTTCTGTGCTTTTTGTTGGTCACTTGCAGAAGAGCATGTGGTCTAAAGTCAGAGGCTGTGGGCTCATTATTAAAATCTTCAGTTGTAGCCACTGAAATCTTTGTGGTTTGCTGCATAGTAATCTACAGTTGTTTACTTCCCAGGCACAATGATGCTATACAATGTGTCTCCTACAATCCTATTACTCATCAACTGGCATCTTGTTCCTCCAGTGACTTTGGTACGTTCTGATTCCTGATGTCCTGTCCTGGAATAACTGAAAATCTGGGCTAAAAATGCTAAAATGCATTCAGAATATGGTGATTTTATCCTGAGAGAGTTAATACTACTTCTCTACCTTCAATGGCTGAGGGGAGGCTGACAGTTATTCTTTAAATTGTGTGGAAACCAAGACAGTGAATGGTGACCTTTACTCTGGTAAGACATCAGAGACTACAGGAAGGGCCCCAGCAAAGGAAATGGTAACAAGATTGGGAGGGCACAGGCATAACTTGGTGTTGCTGCCTTTGGGAAGCCTTCCCTTGGTGTTGCTGCCTCTGGGAAGCCTTCCCTGACTCACCCTGGCAGAGACAGTGCAGTTGTCCTCACCTTTGTATTGACCCACATCTATGTTTATGTGAAATTCTTCACTGTTGCGGTTCTACTTCTTGTGCAATTTGTCGTCATTACTGGTTTAGGTGGCTGTAGCTGTCCTCCCTGAGGGGCTGAACACCTTGAGGAGTTCATCCTGGCCACGGTCCCGTGCCAGCATTACAGCACTGGTGTAGTACTGGCACAAAAGAGGTGTCAGTAAAATGTCTGTGGAGGGAGGAAGGGAGTGAAATTGGGCAGAGGCTTGTAGGTTATTTCCATTAATGGTTGATTCTGTTTTCAGCTCTATCAGTCTGTGTTCGTTGCTAGTGGATACAATGAAGTCACTAGATGAGGAGTCAGAGGCCTAATCCCTCTCAGTGTTCCAGTTCCCTTATCTAAAAGGAGCATGCTACTCACTGTGTCTCACTGATACGGTTCTGGTTCTGAGGTTCAAAAGAGAGAATGGAATTGAAAGCCAATTGTATAAATACATGGAGAAAGGCCTGTCATTTGTTTAACATATTTTATAGCATTTTCTTCATGTGAAGCACTGGTCTGTGTGCTTACACTGGAATATTAAAAAGGCAAAATAGAATCCCTACCCTCAAGGAGCTTGTGGTCTTAGGAGAAGGTGGGATTAAAAAAAATATAATATTAAGTACTAGTATTTATTGAATGCTTGCAGTGTGCTAGGCACTGTTCTAAGGATTAGAAATGAATTTCTATTTGAGCTTTATGACAGCCCCTGAGGTGTCAGGTATTATTCTCATTCCCACCCTACTGATGAAAAAGAGGTAGAGGTCCCTTAGCTAGTAAGTGGAGGAACCAGGGCTTGGACTTTAGACCAGGTGATTGCATACAGAGCCTGCTCTGCTAAGCACTGCTGAAGGAGGCCCAGGAGGAAGGAGTTTCTTCCAGCTTGGGGCTCCAGGCAGGCTTAGTGGAACACAGATAACATGTGCACACGTCAAAATGTTTGGAGGAAGCGTTCTGGACCAGGGGAAAGGCAAAAAATAACTTGTTTGATGTTGCACTTGGCCATGTATTTGTGCACTGGAGTTACCTTCTTGATTGTACTTCGCAACTTGGCAAATAGAAGAATTTGCTTATGTTGTCTAGACATACACTTGCTATGAGGCACTGAGCCAGGGCATCTGGGACAGGGGGGAGCAAGCCTTAGGTGACCAGTGTGCCATGGGAGAGGCACAGCTCAGATAGAGTCATGTGTTGTGATTGAGACCTATGAAAGAAAACTAGATTTTCAGAAAGCATCATTGTTATTTTAAATGCTAGGTTATACTCTGGTTGCAGTGTCAAAGTTATAAACAATGAAACTGTCATTTCTTTGAGAGTCAAATCCCTGAAAAGTTGGCTAGAACTTTACCAATCTATTTTATTTTTCTTCTGAAAGAATGATAGATTCATAGTAAGTTACAAAGATGGTACCAAGAAGTCTATGTACTTTTCATCCAGTTTCCCCCAGTGGATCCAT